>NT_167245.2:634795-809165 GCF_000001405.40 Homo sapiens | reverse complement strand
TGACTTTGCTGAGTGGGGCATCCAGAAGAAGGGGCTGAATGTGGCATTTGAAGGACTTTTCCTCCTTTCTCCTTGGAATCTGACTGTCTGCATGGAGGAATCATACTCCTGGGTTCCCTCCATTAAGTGATAAGCTTCAGGAGACAGGTGTTGACCATGGGTGCCTGTGCCTATTACTTTGAGGAGTAAATTCAATTCCTGGAGAGAATAACATATAAGCAAGTGCTTTGGGGTCACAAACTGCTTCCCAGGTCATTAGGGGAGGGAGGAATAAAGATGCTATGTTGTTGGGCATTGTTTTGACTTCTCAATTTATCTCTCAATTGATTCAGAGAGATGTAATGAAAATGAACTAATTGACTTATTGATTGATCGAAATTAGTGCAACAAGGAGACATGTCTTTTCTTGCCTCATAAAAGCAAGTCAAGGCCGGGTACAGTGGCTCACCCCTGTAATCCCAGCACTTTGGGAGGCCAAGGTGGGCGGATCACCTGAGGTTGGGAGTTTGAGACCAGTCTGACCAACATGGAGAAACCCTGTCTCTATTAAAAATACAAAATTAGCCAGGTGTTGTGGTGCATGCCTGTAATCCCAGCTACTCAGGAGGCTGAGGCAGGAGAATCGTTTGAACCCAGGAGGCTGAGGTTGCAGCGAGCCGAGATTGCACCATTGCACTGCAGCCTAGGCAACAAGAGTGAAACTCCGTCTCAAAAAAAAAAAAAAGAAAGCAAGTCAGTGGTGGGGTAAACCAGGGTGAAAAATATTGGCTCCAACAAAGCACAGCCAAATCTCCCTAGGCTTGGTGAATCCAATGTAAGTTTCTGACACAGATTTACAAGAACTTCCACATCTTTTGCAAAAAAAAAAAAATGCAATTCAATTGACAGCAAAATGAAAGGAGCACATTTGAGTTCCTGGCATGCTCAAGTTTATTGACAAAATGCCCACCAGAGTTCCCTCTCCTGCCTGTCTCAGATGGGCTGGGCTGGGCTGGATGTCATTCTAGGAGATTCACACAGGGAGGCAGGTGACAACTTGTCTTAAAGATCCTTCTTTTTTGAGGGAAGTTATTGTTCAGGATGGAGTAATTAAAAGTGTCAGTGGGATGGGGGATATCAGGAGATGCTGAGATACAATGTTTCAGATAAAGGCCTGGGCCCTGATATGCAATTTGCCCCAGTACAGGAAGACCCAACAGACACAGAGAAATTGACAACCTCTTGTCAGGACCCAGTTCAAATCAGACATCGTTAGATTGCTTCCTGACCTGTGGGCAGAACTTTCATCTCTCAGGACATTGGCCTCTGTGGTACCAATTCTATCCAAGACTTCCCAGGTATGAGAAAAGATCTCTCTTCCTTCTTTCATTTTCAAACCATTTTAACTCAGAGACATATTTTCCTGGAATTTGAAACCTCATGATTTTTTACTGGGGAAGGTGCATTTCTCAGGAAAATGGGGACAGGACAGAAACCAGGTTCCTGGAGAAAGCAGGATTCGGGGTTCCAGGGTAGTCCCAGCAGGTGAGCCACAACTGTGCTCTGGCCCCTGGTTCACAAATGCCCCAGCTGTGTAGATGGGCAGAGGGTGTGTTATTCTGTTAAAGGTAGGATTTGAGCCACTGTATTACTGAGGTGTAGTCTATGACTTCTAGGAAAATCCTTTTGGGTCTTCTGATTTCACAGCTTCTATATTCATATTTAGTTTGTATCTAACGCAAGGAATGAAGTTCTTATGCATGCTACCCTGTGAAGAAGCCATGAAAACAAGAGGCTGAGTGAAAGAAACAGACAAAAAATCACAGAGGGTCTGATTCCACTAATAGGACATGTCCAGAATAGGTGAATGTGCAGAAATGGAAGGTAGATGGGGTTGCCAAGAGCTGGGAGGAGGAAGACAAGGGGAGTAACTGCTAACAGGTAAAAGGCTTTCTTATGGGGGTATGTAAATATTTTGGAACCAGATAGAGGTGGTGGTTGCACAACATTGTGAAGGTGCTAAGTGAGGCAGAACTGTGCCCTTTAAATTAGTTAATTTGTGTTATGTAAATTTCACCTCAAATAAAGATTAAGTGGGGAGGGTGGGCTCTCAACTCAGAACCAGAGCAAGTACTTCAATCCCAATGCAAAGGTTACTTGGCTATTTTGGCTGCATCAACCTGAGCACTTCCATCAGAGCTGGCTCCCTGAATCCCAGGATCCAACCTGTTTGTTGTTTATGCTCCTTGGGGAGCTTGGCTCATGACCCGACTTGGAAATGACATTTCCAGGTGCTAGGATCTCTCTGTGCCCAGTGCTGGGGCTGCACCAGGCACTGAAGCCTTCCCACCCCAGGAGGGCTGTGTCCTCCTCTTGTGTGATGAGGAAGAATGTGCTGCTTAGTCACTGGCCTCAGTAGTGGTCTCTGGGCATGAGCTAGGTCTCAGTGAGCCCAGGGATGGGAAGCCTGGCTCTGTCCCTGAAGCCACATGCTGCCTCCAAAATGGGCATTTTCTCTTTGTTGAAGGGTAAGTCACCTCTCCCCTTGAAACTCTTTTATCTATAAATCTCCTTTCTTTGTTGGGGACCAGAGCCCAACTGCTCCTGCTTGGTGCCTTGGTGGCCTGGGGTGGGCCACGGAGGTCTGTTTGCAGCTTCTCTTCTGTCATCATCACGAGTTCTGACACCCTGGCCCAGGCACAGAACTGCAGGTCACCCTGATGTTTCCATGGGCACCAATGTTACCAAGCCCCAAGACTCATCCTATGACCAGATTAGATCTGAGCCAGATCTGCGGTCCTCCCTGGCCTCAGGTAAGAGTGTCTAGGTAACAAGTGCAGGGAGGGGAGGGGCTGGGGCTGGACCCTTCCATTTCAAGAGAGCTGCCAACTGAAGGGGACTCCATCATCCCAGCAAGGAGGGAAGATTCAAACACTGGGCTCACTTGGAGCTGGTCCCTAGCATTCTCCTAAACCCTGCTGATGCACCAATATGTGACTGCAGGCCACAAGGTCACCTGTGGAATATTTCCAGGCATATCGCAGGCATTTATCAGTTAGTTTGTGGAACAAGCTCTGTTCTAGAAGCTTCTGTGATTCAGAAGCAAAGCTTCAGCAGCTCAGGGTTGTAGAACCAGGTAGATCTCACTGTTCTGAGACTTTCCATAATTCCGTCTGTAAACTTTTCATCATAAATGTGATCATCAGTTCAGGCTCCCATGACAGAGATCACAGACTGAGTGGCTTAAACAGCAGAAGTTCATTCTCTCAGTTTTAGGAGGCTGAAAGTCTGAGATCCAAAGATTGCCGGGATCATTTCTTTCCAAAGCCTCTCTCCTTAGCTTGTAGATGGCTGCCTTCTCCCTGTGTCTTCTCATGGTCATCCCCCTGTGGGTGTCTGTGTCCTAATCTCCTTTACTTATGAAGACACTACCCCTATTGGATTAGGGCCTACCCTAATGACCCATCTAAACATAATTACCCCTTTAATGTCCCTGTCTCCAAATTCAGTCACATTCTGAGGTACTGGGATAGTTCAACATATGAATTTAGAAGAATACAATTCATCCCATAGCAGCAGCCCTTACTTAGATGGGGATGCTGAGGCAAAGAAAGAGTCAGCTACTATGAAAAAGAGCTGGGATTTGCCCCCAAGAGGTCAGCTCTCACAGTCTCAGCATGAACTCCTCAGATCACTGGGTTTAACCAAGCTGTGGGATTCCAGAAGGGGTACTGACCTTCTCCTGTTTAACTTTCAAGTTGGGCAACAAACCACCTTGGTTTTCCTAGGGCTATGAGGATTTTCAGGACAAGAGATGTTCAGAGCTTAAACTGGGAAAGTCCTAGGCAAAGCAGGATAAGTTGGTCACCCTCCCCTCATGATTCTACAAAGAAAGACCTGTGATTGGCAATGTGGAGGAGAGTGCCTGCTCCTGTTGTGGACGTAGCCCAGGGTTCAGGTGTGAGTCTCCCTCAGGAGTCCAAGAAGCCTTTTTTTTTAAATCAGTTTGCAGAACAAGCTTTGTTCCAGAAGCTTCTGTGATTCAGAAGCAAAGTTTGCTTTTATGAAGAGGTCACCAGCACTTCCCCAAGTGTAACTGAGCTGCATAAAGCTCTCCATAGGTGCCATACCCAAGTGAGTCCTCTATGTCAAACCCTGTTCCAGGAGCTGGAGAAGTTATTGAACAACATTGTGAAGAGAATAAAAAACCTGATAAATCTTCCATTCCCACAGAGGGATTTCTGCAGAAGTAAGTAAGTTGCATAGACACTCAGCATGTGATGAATGCAATGTTAATAGGAAGCAGAAGCTTCTCTGGAAGTTGATACTGGGGCAAAGATTGGAAAGAGGATACAAAGCTTACAGATGTGCAGAGGCCCTTCCAGGCAGCAGAACAACATAAAGGTCCTACCAGGAGGCCCTCGTGCTGAAAGTGAGGAGTTGAGGGGAGGTGAGCAGGAGAGAGGTTGGGTAGACCTTCCCTAGAGCACTGAAAAGCAACTGCCCCATGTGGGACTCAGAATATCTCAGAACCTTAGGGCAGAGGAATTGCCTGGTGCCTCCACCAAAACCATGCCATGAAAACTGTCTGTGTCAATGAGAGAGTTGGAGAACAAAGGTAAAGAAATGCACCTCTTTCCTTTATGGGCACCTAGGTGCATGGATACACACCTGGTGTTGGGCACAGCATCAAGAATACCTGAACGAGGTGGAGAGAGGGATGGGGGCAAGCAGGAGAGGGTACCCTGCAGTGGAGGATATGGGATGGATGGATCACTTGCAGGAGACTCATTCCTCTCCTTGACTTTGCTCTGTGAGATTCCCACCAATCTTGGGAGGCCCAGCAGGACCCTCTTGGGAAGCCCAGCAGGTCAGAAGGCAACCCTGACTCTCCTTCCTAGGCCTGGTAAGTTACCAACCTTTGTCTTTGCAGGGTGTGCCCAGGCAGCCAAGGCAGCCCACCATGGCCCAGTTTCTCTCAGTGTTCTCTGGGAAGCTGGATTGGGACAACAGGACAGAGACCCCAGGACAAGTGAACATGAGTCATACGGGAGGCGAGTGGTTGGTGGGCAAACAGGTGGTTTTCATCCTGACAGTGCTGGTGGCCTTCTGTGGGCTGGTGGGCAATGGTGTGGTCTGCTGGCTTTTCTGCTTCCAGGTCAGGAGCAGCCCCTACGTGACCTATGTCCTTAACCTGGCCGCTGCTGATATGGTCAACCTCTCCTGTGTAACTGTGATCCTGTTGGAGAAAATCCTCATGCTGTATCACCAGGTGACATTGCAGGTGGCCATGTTTCTGGAGCCTGTGTTCTATTTCTCTGACACAGTGAGTCTCTGTCTCCTGGTGGCCATGAATATTGAGAGCTTTCTGTGTGTCCTCTGTCCCACCTGGTGCTGCCACCGCCCAAAGCACACCTCTGCTGTGATGAGCATCCTGAGCTGGGCCCTGGCCCTTTCTTTGCATGTGGTTAGCCAGGTTTGTGAGTAATGGGAGAAGGGCCTGGCATGTGACCAATTTCAGGCAGGCTTTATAATATTTCACATGCTTATTTGTCTTGTGGTGGGCATTTCCAGCCTGACTTTGATCATCAGGAGCCTGTACTGCCTGAAGAACTGTTCACCCATCCGGATCTACCACATTGTCCGCTTTGTGGCCATCAGCTTCCTGGTTTGGGGCCTGCCCTTAGTTGTCCTTGTGTACCTGCCAGGAAAAGAATACCTGACCTTTGCCTTTGACCTTCTGTTGCTGCTGTCCATGGTAGTCAGTATGGCTCAACCAGCCATCTACTTCTTGGCTGGCTACCTTTGAAGGAAGAGGCATAGGGAGTCCTTAAAGTTGTTCTCCCAAGAGCTTTGTTGAATGAGATGGAAGGTGGAGGAAACAAGGGGTTTCAGGCAAGGGAACAGCAGGTTACCAGGACTGAGCTCCTCCCACTCCAGGAAGCTGTTCCCCAGGACTGACCATGATGCCCTGTATTGGTCCATTCTCACACTGCTATAAAGAAATATCTGAGACTGGGTAATTTATAAAGAAAAGAGGATTAATTGGCTGACAGTTTGACAGGCTGTACAGGAAGCATGGCTGGGGAGGCCTCAGGAAACTTACAATCATGGCAGAAGGTGAAGGGGAAGCAGGTACGTCTTCACATGGCAGGAACAGCAGGAATAGAGCAATGGGAGAGGTGCTATACACTTTGAAACAATCAGATCTGGTGAGCACTCACTCACTATAATGAGAGCAGCACAGAGGGGAAAATCTGCCTCCATGATTCAATCACCTCCCACCAGGCCCGACCTCCAATACTGGAAATTACAAATGGACATGAGATTTGGGTGGGGAACATAGATCCAAACCATATCATGCCCTGTGGAGTCTGCCCCATAAGGAGGTGCTTGAGTCCTGGCAAACATAAGACTCTGAATAGGGCAGGAAGTCAAGTGGTGGAAAAAACTATGACTAGAGGAAATGTTCACTGAAGATTCCCTTTGTCTCAATACTGCTCTAATTACTTTGCAAATATAAAACCAGGTAATTTTAACAATTCTATGAATAGATAACGTTATTATTATCCTGCTTCAGCCTAAGCCAAAAGGCCACTTGGCCCACTTAGTCAGTGGTTATCCAAAGGCCCCAGCACATTATAACAAGCACAGTCCTTCACCATCACGCTCCTCCTTGGTGATCAATCACAGTTGGACTCTTGTGGGTCTGTCTGTGGGCCCTCTGCTCTATTCCATCAGTCTATTTATCCATCCATGGACAATACCACACTTGATGTAGTTACTGCATCTTTATCATACATGTCTATCTGCGAGAAGCTGAGTCCTCCTACAAGCAGCTAGATAGAGAAGAAAAAGACATATATGTACAGAGAATCAAAGATACAAAGCAGATTTCTTGTTGGAAAATTGCAAGTTGTATGAAAGTATTTTTTTTAAAGA
This sequence comes from Homo sapiens, assembly GCF_000001405.40. Classification (NCBI taxonomy): domain Eukaryota; kingdom Metazoa; phylum Chordata; class Mammalia; order Primates; family Hominidae; genus Homo; species Homo sapiens. Next base: position 802,244 of record NT_167245.2, on the reverse strand, counting down.
AAAAAATGCCAACCTAGAATTCTTTACACAGTCAAAATTTTGTTTTCCAATAAAAAGGCAGAATAAAGAGGTTTTCAGATTGACAAAAGATGAAAGAAATCATCACCAGGAGATGTACAGATTGAGAAATGGTAAAGGACATCCATCTAGCAGGAGAATAATGACTCCAGATGGAAATCTGAGTCTACTAAAGGAAGGAGCCCTTTGCACTGCTAGACTCTCCATAGGATGCTGAATACAAGTAGTGAGAGCTGACATCCTCACCTAGTTCTTCCTCTGGGGTGAAACTATCCAGTCTTTCATCATTAAGAATAACGTCCAGTAAACATCAACTACAGGGTTTTTGTAGGTGCCTTTTATCAGTTTAAGAAAATTCACTTCTATTCCTAGTTTTTAGGAATAGAAATAGACTGGAAGTTTTTATAAGGTTGATGGATTTTGTCTAATGCTTTTTCCAAATATACTGAAATAATGATGTGCTGTTGTCTTTTCATCTGTTAATATGGTGAGTTATACTGGCCCATTTTTAACGTTGAAGCAGCCTTGCATTCTTGGGATAAATTTCACTTTGTCGTTCTGTGCATATATTTATACTTGTGTTGCATATGTATGTATGCTCAAGGGCACGGGTTTCTGTGTGTGGCAATGCAGTGGACCTAGATTAGAAATAAAAAACCCTCTAAAAAAGAAGAATTAAGTAAGATGGCTAACAATACCTAACTTCAAGACCTATCGTAAAGGTTCAGAAATTCAGACGGTATGGTATTGGTAAGAGGCTAGACAAATGGATCAATAGAACAGAATACAGAGTCCAGAATAGACCATCACATATGTGTTCAATTGTTTTTCAAAAGTTGTACAGCAAATTCAGTGGAGAAAAGACAATCTTAGCAACAAATACTATTAGAACAATTAGATATGCATATTAAAAACTTCAGTCCATACATGGCACCATTATTCAAAATGTATCATAAACCAAAATGTAAGGCCTAAAACTTTAAAATTTGCATAAGGAAAAAGGTAGATATTAGTGTGACTTTGGATTAGAGAAATATTTGTTAGATAAGCACCAAAAGCATGATGCATAAAAGGAAAAAAAAATGATCAATTGGACTTCATCAAAATGATGTGTGCACTCTGAAAGACCCTGTGAGGAGAATGAAAAGACAAGCCCCAGGCTGGAGGAAGTATTTGCAAATCTCACCTCTGATGGACTCATATGCAGGTTCTACAAAAAGCTCTGGGGAGTGGACTCCTCGTGGCCCTCAGGAGTCAAAGGGGTGCTGTGCTCAGGGCAGAAATGGGAGATGCCTCCCACCCTGTCATTCATGTCCCCTGAGCAGTGGTGCTCAAAGTCCCCTACCAATGTCCCTTCCTGGGTCCACAGACCCTTCTCTCCCCACATCTACACTGACAGGCCAGGCCCCTCCTCCAGGGCACAGGGAGGGACAGTTGGTCTCAGGCTCTGGGTGCCCAGCTTCATGCTCACCCCTTCCTTCAAGGCCCACTGGGCCTGTCTCACAGGATATAGTGAGGTTGTCTGGCATCTCCTGGACATGCTGTCTGGGCCTATTCCAAGCTGCAGCCAGAAAAATGGAGGAATGTTTGTCAGACCAGGTACCCTTCCCACAGAGCCTGGGTCCAGATACACAGTACAGAGGCCACAGGGTGGCCAGCCTAGAACCTGTGAGGTGGGCTGGGGACCACACAAGGGCTGTCTCCAGACAGCCAGGTGAAGCTTTGCTAGTTTCTCGGTATCTCATTTCTTTCCTTTTCTTTTTTTCTTTTTTTGAGACAGGTTCTTGCTCTGCTGCCCAGGCTGCAGTGCAATGGCGTGATCTCAGCTCACTGCAATCTCCACTCTCTGACTTCCAGGCTTAAGCCATTCTCCCACCTCAGCCCCACCAGTAGCTGGAACTACAGGCGCGTGCCACCACACCTGGCTAATTTTTTTGTTTTGGTAGAAATGGGCTTTCACCATGTTGTCTAGGCTGGTCTTGAACTTCTGGACTCAGGCAACCCACCCTCCTTGGCCTCCGAAAATCTTGGGATTACAGGCGTGAGCCACTGCATCTGGCTGTTATTTCATTTCTTGCCAGTTACCTTACCCTCATGAAAAACCCCCTTCATTCAAAATCAGTAAGAGGAGAAAGGTGGTAAAAGAATCAATGGAAAGAAAACAGGATATAACTTCTGTCCATATAACTTCTTTATGTCCCATTGGAAAGAAAAGCCTAAAGGGGTCCACTGGTTTCTATTGCTCTGAGGTCCCGACGATGGCATTACACAGTGCAATAACTACCAGCAGGGGCCATGCTTGATTTCAGCAGACGTCAGTGAGGACATACCTGGGATCTTCTGGGGTCGTGGACATGGACTTAGAGCAGAACTGAGTAAACAGGTGTGCACAGGCACGCACACACATACACATACACGTGCACATGTGCACACACAGGGACACACACTTCTGCACTGTTCTAGACTGTTCCCGGGGCAGCAGTCCTGGGCTGCACAGATGAGCCCCTCCCCATCCACTCTGATTCCACAAGGCTCCCCGACCCCGCTAGTCATCTGCCTTGTTGTCAGTGGTGTCCTTTGTGTCCCGCCTTGGCACAGGCTCAGGACCTGGGATTGCCAGATGCTGAGAGGAGATGAGATGGAAAGGATGAGGGAAGCAAGAGAAGAAGGAAGAGAGGGAGGGAGGGATGTGGGGAGGGAAGGAGGGAAGAAAGGAAGGGAGGGCTGCCGGAGACCAGCCACCCAGGGACAGTAGACACAGGTGACAGCAGACCCTCTCAGGGATGCTTTGTACAGACTGTCATGAATGAGCAATGTCACTGGAACTCCAACTTTTGCTCCCTTCCCAGCCCTCTGGGGGTCCCTATCAGGTGCAGTTTGAATTACAGGAAATTACTGGAGGGTCTTAACCCTGGCATCTGCCTGAGAGTGGGAGGCTGCAGTGCAGTGTGGCTCACAGTTGTGTGGGAACCTTGGCCTTTCTGGTGCTTGGCCCTGCTGCGGCCTTTGGGATGGGGAGGCTGTGAGAGGCTGGTCAGGGTCTGGGCTGTGCCATCTTCATTTCCCATCCACCCCAGTATGTCCAGGGCTTCCTGCAGAGAGCTCTGGGCAACTCAAAAACAGGCAGGACATAACAACAAAGACTTTATTGTGCTTTAATCAAAATAAGTGGGGGCTTTGAGGCCAAGGAAGGGGTCCTTTTCCCCAAGAAGAGGCATTCTTAGGCATTGTTGAATCTATGCTGGAAGCTCTGGTCCCACCTTGGAGCCTCCTGCAGTGAGTAGAGCCAAGTTTCCTGACTTTTTCTGACCACAAAATGCAACTGCCAAGAATGGCAGATGAGGGATCCAGCCTCCTGGACTCTCATTTGCTTAGTTTTCTTCAGTCTTGTGTCCTGGAGCAGATTGTGGACCCTGGAAGCAGGGCCCCAGTGCCATCTCCTTGGGCCTCAGAACTCTGCCCCATTGGTGGTCTGGTGGTGGCCACTTATCCTGCAGGAGCCTGACCATTTCTGCTTCCTTGAATGGATGAGGTTGGTGGCTGGTCCACGTGTTTCTGCCCCACCCTCACCAAGGTGGCCAGTGGTAGTTTGAGCTTGGTAACATCATCAGCTTGGCCTTGCCAGGCACACATAGGCCCCGGGTATGTACGCAGTGCTCCAAGGGGGCTTGCTCCGCCTTAAGCCAAATACTAGTTCTGGCCAGGGCCACAGGGGGCTCCATCTCCTGTGTATCTTGGCTGCTGCTGGAGGCCCCAAGGCACCCCTGGTGCCCCTTCCCTTTCAGGGCTCAGGTTGAGTCTGGGCTAGGGCCCTCTGGGTCTAGGAATTGTGCGTTGAGAGGGGGGTTCTGCCCTACAGGTTGGGACCATGGATGCAGGGCATGCTGCTGGGTGGCCTGGGCTGTGGGGACACCATGCTCACCCCTCCCTCCAGTGGCCTCCAAGTGTCCAGCTTCCCCATCAGTATTGACTTTCCATGTCTAAGGAGCTCTCTGGGGCTTTGGGGCAGCTTGCCAAGTGCTGCCCTGGCTCCTTCTGGGCCGTGATGTTCACTGTCTGCCAAGGGTGATCAGCTGTAGGCATCACATGCAGGAGAGTTGTCTCTGGCCCTACCTCTGGGCTATCAGGGGGCTGGGCAGTGTCTGGTATTGGGGGCTAGGCCAGTCCTATGATCTTAGAGGTGTCCAGGGCACATATGGAAGTGATAGGGGCCTAGCATCTCTGCTCCAAGCTCTACTGTGAAAACCACAGGCCTCTGAGGTCCAGGTCCATGGGGAGCTTAGAGAGGGAGTTCCAATGCAGGAATCACCAAGCACTCTGTGGTCTATCCTGAGCTGGGGATGGGCTGGCCACACTCTGAGTCCCCAGGGCCCCCAGAGAGCAGCCTGCTGTCCTGGGCTCTGCAGAAGCTCCCTTATGCCTCTGGGCTTTGGCCTTGGGTACAGCATAGCCAGGTGAGGGTGAGGGAGGATGAGGCTCCTGTTTCAGGAGGGCTATACCCATGGGCTGCTGGAGCTGGGCTGTGGGCCAGGGAGAAGCAGCCCATCCCCTTGGGGAGGGTCTCAATGCTGGGGGATATCTGCAGAGGCCTGGGTGGTGGGGGTGCTTGCTCAGGTTTGGCTGAAAGGAAAGCAGATTTGGTCAGCTTTTCCATTGAGAACATCTTGCTTTTGCCAGGCTGGACCCCACAGACCTGGGTCCCTGCAGTCCTCAGGGTCCCCGTGTGGTCCCCCTGGTCTAATGCTGAGGACACTCCTGCAGGCTGCTACTCCCAGAGCGAGGTGTGTGTGCAGCCTAGAGTGGGGAAGCTGTCAGGGAAGCTCAAGTCACTCCAGGGACAGCCCCCAGGGTTCAGGCTGACTCAGTCTTCCTGCCTCACACTCTTGCCCCAGGGCTGCTTAGCCTGGGCTTTAGCCTTGATTCAGAGCTCAGATGGATGGGGCCTTAACTGTTACCTAGCCCCTTTGCCACACAATATGGGGGCTTATCTCCACAGTGGATGAGACACCCTCCACTCCTCTGGGGGATCTCCATGCCAGGGCTGGACTGTTCCCACACTCGGCTGAGCAATCAATTCTGGCTCTGGGCCAGGGTTTCACCTATGCCCTCTCCCTAGATTCTCTTAGGGTCTCTGACACTGATTTTAGGCCCTTGGAGGGGTGCTCAGGAGTGAAGACCCCCTGCTGCTCTCCAGGGCTGCTGGTACTCACAGGTGTGGTTGTGGGCTTGCACAGATGGATCTGACCCCTCCAGTGTCCTTCTGGGGCTTTCAGGAGTGAGAGCAGGAGGGTACAGGGGAGGGGCTTGGAAGAGTCTTGCTCACGTCTCATTGTCTCTGAGGCATGTCCAGTAAACCCAAGGTCAGCTTTTGCCCTAGGCTCAGGCAGCCTGGTTTCAGAAGCTTCTTAGAGGAGGAGGGAGAGGAGGGGCTGGAGGAAGGCCCAGGGAGCAGGGCTGGTGAGGTCTGGGCACTTCCCACTATTTACTGCCCCGCAGGGTGACACAGGAGGAGACTTGGTGCTGAAGCCCACCTGGGTGTGCAGGTCACAGTGCATGCTTCTCAGTTCCCCCATGGAGGCCTCAGGGTGCCTCATCACCATGTCCTCCTCCAGGGCCCAGGCCTAGGACAGTGTGTCCTGAAGGAACTCCTGCAAGCCAAACAGGAACAGCTTCAGGGGGTGTTCTAGGGACAGGGTGACTATGAGGCTGGGAGGGGTCTGTGGGAGAGTCAGTGTCTGCACCTTGTTCCTGCCCCAGGCACCCACCACTGGGCGGTGCTGGATCCTACTGTGGCTGCCCCAGGGGTCCAGATGTTCACAGAAAACCACAGCTGGAGGAAGGCCTGGGCAGGGAAGTGCTCAACACACTCTTGCCTTTCATCTGGGTTGTGTCAGGAGTGGGTTTGGTACCTGGGTCCACTCCCTGCCCAGCCCACCAGGCCTGGTCTGGCCCTACCTCCAGGCTGGAGCAGAGAGCCATGTGGACAGTGTGGATGCTGCTCTCAGGTCATCACACACCAGAAGCCAGGAATCTGTCCTGGCTATAGGTCCCAGGGTCTGTCCTGCATGCTCCTTCTGGGCACCATTGGCCACCCAGGGACTTAATTCTGTGGCTGTGAAGGCCATGTATACCATAGTTGTCACCACACACTCACCTCCCAGTAGGTAGACATCCCAGAGCCACAGGATGAGCATGAAGGAAGTCTGTGGGAACAGCAGGTGTGGGAGGACCTGGCCTTTCCAACCTCGGGGCTGGTGGCTTGAGCAGGGCCCACTGTAGCCTCAGTCTGGACTTCCTGAGGCTCCCTCTGCTTGGGAAGAGACCCACCCAATCTTCCATAAGGCTGGGTCAGACAAGGTCCGGCAGCTCTTCATAGGGATGGACTCATCTCAGCAGAAATGTGGTTCCCAGAATAAGGGGCTTCCTGAGGGCTTGTGGCTTCCCTGGCTCCTTTGGCTCTTCCAAGATGGGTCTTGGCCCAGTCTGCCCAGAATTCCCTGGTGTCTGGTGTGTAAAGCTCCCATCATACAGGTCCTGGCTTGTGTGCCCTGCAGAGACCTGCCTGTGCCTCCTGTGGGGTGGGGGTGAGCTGGGTCCTCCTGGGGAAGCCAGACCCCTGGGCTGGGGGAGCTGAGCACTGTGGGGAAAGGAGGTACCTGGCCTGGGGTCTCCTATGCATCCTTATCTCATCGATGAAGCACCATAGAAACCAGTTTAAGGTGGAAAGCCGGATGCACAACCCTTCCTTGTCCTGATAGAAGGAATAGAAGTGTTCAGGGTCCCCTGGGCTTCCGTGAAAACCTCTGTATTCCAGACCCCACTGCAGACCCTTCCCCAAGAGGTAGAACAGTGGTGGCTGTGCCCCAACACCTCCCCATGGCATGGGCCCCCAGTGGATGTACTTCCCCTAGCCCTGGCTCAGCCAGAGCTTGGCCTGGTCCCAGTGCCTCTGTCCCCTCCAGGTAAGGAAAAGGAGGCCAAACTTTGAATCCATTGAAAACCAGATCAAGCCCTGGCTGGAAGTTGGCCTCTCACCAGCCCCAGGCTTCCCCTGTCCCTGCTAACCCCATGGGACCCAGGGCCTCTGGGGAAGAGCTGAGGGACTGACCACTCACCATGTGCTTCATAAGCTCTCAGAACACTTTTAGCAAAACTTGCTCTTGATGGGCTTGGAGACTCTGGAAGTTAGAACATCTTGGGATGTAGACTCCTGAGAGGCTCCTGGGGCCCCAAGGAATCAGAGCCTACTCCTGAGATGTGGAGCCATCAGGCTGGGCAGTGGCAGTTGGGCAGTGGCAGTTGGGCAGCAGCGGTTGGGCAGTGGCAGTTGGGCAGTGGTGGTTGCTTCCAGACCCCAAGGCCTTTCACTGTCCCATCCAGTGACCCCATCATGTGGTCTCGGCCAGGAGAGGAGGGGTGGGAATGCCCCTGGGGCCTGGCTGGAGGCACTGCTTAGTGGCTTCCAGGGCCATGGCTCCAGAAGGGCAGGCCTGCCTTTGAAGCAGTGAGGACAGGTGGGAGCTGGTGGGGTGACCAGGGGTGCTGGAGGGTGTGTGGCCTTCTCCTGGATGTGGGGTCAGGGCAGGGGACACAGGACAGAGAGAAGCTGTCATCTGGGCTTGGTCTAGCCATGGGCAGGGAGGGTGGTTGGGAGGGTGGCCAGCTGGGAGGTGGAAGGACCAGCAGGGTTGTAAGAGTCCCCTGCATAAGGTCAGGGCCAGAAGGTTGTGACACCAGGATGCAGAAGGTGGTCACAGGGCAGCTGTGATCCCATTTGCTGATGGGGACAAGAGGCATCTGACTTGGGGTGTCAGGTCCCTGGCCAGTCACAGGCTCCTGTGGGACTCTCAGCAGGGGATACCCTGGAGGCTCAAAATGAGCAGGGGACAGAAGGTGCCTTGTCTGTAAGTCACAATTACCCAGCCAGTGTGGCCGTCCCCTGTCCTGGCTGTGTGATGCCTCGTGGGTAGCTGTCCACTGTGAGCTAATGTCACATGGGAGGACTGTGTCACCTGAGAGGGCAGAGGCCACCTTGGAGAGTACCATGCTTGGCAAGCCTCTCATTGGCCAGCAGCTGGGCCAGCACCCAGATGTCTCCTCATTCTGGAACATGAGCAGGATAGTGGCTCATGGCATGATATGGCTTATGCCCCCGCAGTAGCCTACCTCTGGCAAAAGCCAAAGTCATCATGGAAAGACTTCACCAAGGCTGACGTCACCTTGGAGGGTTGAGGTCACCTGAGAGGGCTAATGTCACCTGAGCACACTATGTCACCAAGAGGGCAGAGGTTACCTGGAAAGGCAGAAGTCCCCTGGCAGAGCTGAGGTCACCTGAGGAAACAGGTCACTTGGAAGGGAAGAGGTCACTTGGGAGAGTTAATATCCCCTAGGAGGACTAATGTCACCTGAGAAGGCAGAGATCATCTGGGAAAGCAGAGGTCCCCTGGAAGACCTGAGTTCACCAGGGAGGGCAGAGATAACCAGGGAGGACTAATGTCACTTAGGAGGGCTGAGGTCACCTGAAAAGACTGAAGTCATCTGGAAAGGCAGAGGTCACCTGGGAGAGCTGAGGTAACCTAGGAGGGCACAGATCACTTGAGAGGGGAGAACTAATGTCACCCAGGAGGGCAGAAGTCACCTGAGAAGGCAGAGGTCACCAGGAAGGCCTGCCACAGGTCCCGGGGAATTTAGGGTGCAGCTTCCGTGCCCCTCTCCTGACACTGTGGTTCACTTGAGCCAGTCATGGACATCTCAGATGAAAAGGAGCTATGGAAGAGACTCCTGCTTCATCCAAACTCATGTGTGGCCAGAAAAGGCATAGGTGAGGGCCGTTAAGAACACCCTGACCCGAACTGCAGATGCTAAGCTGGGGAGGCCACTGTGCCAGGCTCAGGGCAACACCCATGAACTGAATCCCTATGAAGGCTGGCTTGTGGGTGCTGACCACTGCACATAGGGGACTGGGATGGCTCACAGGCTGCTGGGCACAGGAAGACAGCTAGGTCCAGACCCTGTGTGGGCAGCCCATGGAGTCTGCTCAGCAGCTCTTCCTGCCAGGAATGGTCAGGAAAGTGGGGGCTGGAGAGTGGGAGCAGCCATCTCAGTAAGTCCTTCCCTGTCTGCTGTGCTGTTCAGGGTTCGGGTGAAGGGGAACTTTGATCCCAAAGCCTGATTAAGATGATGGCTTCTTCAGGATCCAAACTCACTTTATGACAAAAGAAATGTTCATTAGGCACTTCACCATCTTGTAAAATATTCTGAGAGGGACAATCTGCAACAACGCAAAGCTTGTGGGGTTTGAGGTGGGAAAGGAAAATAAAACTCAGGACTCCAATTCACTATGCCAAATGGAAAAAATTAAGCTGAAAGCTGAGTCATGCAAAAAACTGTCTTTCCTTTTGTTCCTCAGCAGATAGCTACAGATAGAAGGTTAAATAGCTCCTCAAGTAGCTAGTCTTATGTTCACCTTATGTAAAGGGCCTATTACTGAGTGTGAGATGAATCCATAATTGACTGTTTTCCTGCCTACTCCTTTTCTCTTGCAACATGTGGATAACCACACCCTCTTTCCCATCTAGCCCACTTCTCACCTTTAAATATTGAAGCCCTCACAATCATCTTTGAGAAAGGTACATATACCTGTTTCCTGGGTGCGTCCTTAACCTTGGCAAAATGAAAATTCTAAACTGATTGAGACCTATCTGACATACTTTTTCGTTTACAAGTTGGCAACCAACGGAAGAGACTCTGAGTGAAGGTGGCCCTGACCTTTGACAAATCTACTTGTGCATGGTACCAGTATGAGCTATATTTTTATTTTATCTGTTTTAATTTTGAGACAGTGTTTCACTCTGTCACCCAGGTTGAAGTGCAGTGGCACGATCCCTGCTCACTGTAGCCTCCACCTCCCGGGCTCAGGTGATCCTTCCACCTCAGCCTCCTGAGTAGCTGGGACTACAGGCTTGTGCCACCACACCGGGCTAATTTTTGTAATTTTCATAGAGACAGGGTTTTGCCTTGTTGCCCAGGCTGGTCTTGAACTCCTGGGCTCAAGAAATCCTCTGGCCTTGCAAGGCCTCCCAAAGAGCGGGGATTACAGGCATGAACCACCATGTCTGGCCTTGAGCTATCTTTATTGTTCAAACTGTTACAATAGGTAATTAGTCAGACATGAATAGGTCAGGAGAGGGACCCTCGCCCAGGAATGTCAGGCAACCATCAGATGGTGGTCAGGAAGTTGTTAAACTGCCTCTTGAAAATAATAATTGGCTGCAGCCGGTGCCAGGGAAAGGCAGCCTCCCAATAGAAACACCTCAAGTTGGTAATCAGCAGCTTCCCAATAAGATCTCAGGAGGTGGGCTAGTGGACTTAAGCATGTGCACTAACAGGCAAAATGGCAGAGTTGAACCAGTATATAACCTTTCTCCAGGAACACTCGGCTGGTAAGGGAAGAATGCCTTAAGTGAGCATGTGTACAATTTTGGTAAACACAATGTGTATGTTGCCCCTTCCAAGTGCTGGCAGGCCACTGTGCACGTGGACAGCCCACCCCAAGGGAAAAATCAAGGGAGAAGAGATGCAAACCACTCCCCCGCCCCAAGAGGCATGCCAATGTATGAAACCCCAAGTCAAAGATCAAACCATGAACTTGATCTCTCAAGTCACCCACTCGGCCCTCTTTCAAGTGGACTTTACTTTCTTCAGTTCCTGCTCTAAAGCTTTTTAATAAATTTTCACTCTTGGCTCTAAAACTTGCCTCAATCTTTCACTCTGCCGTATGCCCCTCAGTCGAATTCTTTCTTCTGAGAAGGCAAGAATTGAGATTGCTGCAGACCCATATGGATTTGCTGCCAGTAACAAAACCAACAGGACGATTTGCTGAGGCCTGGGAGGTATCATCTCCAGAGAATCCCTGATTTCTCAAAATGTTGTTGAGATCTAAGGTTTATTTTGCTGTTCAACTCCTTTTCTAGAGTTTTACTTGCATCCAAAAAGATGAGTTTTTCTGAATCCATGATAATGGAAAGCAGGCAACTCCTTTCCAGAGTTTCAGCTTGCTTCCAACAGGGAAGATGAGTTTTGAGTTTTTTCCTGCTTCTAGGATGATAGAGAGCAATCTTCAACCTGGGCCTTATTCCTACATATGTAGCTGAAATGGGGTTTGTCTTGGAAATTCTCTGAAAGTTAAGATTAACTACCAGCTGGTCTTGATTCCTCCTTACCATTAGAGTGCTCAGTAATCTTATAAATTGTGCAATCATTTGTTTTGCTTTACTTTTTTGTTGTTGTTTATTTGTTTGGTTCCGTTTTTGTTGTTTTAGTCTTTTTTCCATTGGGTTTGACCACTCTAGTTGACTTGGTCAAACCTGAAGGAAAGTTCTAAATTATGGGGAACAAGACCTCTGAACTGGCTAAATTCCTGAAGCTGGAAAAACAAAGAGAAAAAAAAGAAAAATCAGCCATCGAAACAAGAAAGATTTCAATTACCTGAAGGGCTTTATTTACATAACAAAACAACCCTTTGCTAGCCAAGCCAAACTGAAATAGCAATAGTGGTTGCCCCATGCTGTAGTTCAGTAGCTAAGGTTCTGCCCTTTTTCCACCATGGCAGCCTGGGTTTGGTTCCTAAATAAAGTCTTTACTGGTTTGATATTTGTGTTACATTTGAAATATTAGAAGTTTGTCCCACCTAAAACATGGTAATGTAACCAAAATGCAGGTTAGTCGCTTGTTGCTTGCAGAGTCCAATTAACAAAAGTGAAGTCTGGTATAAAGAAAGTAATTTATTTCCAAAACTAGCTTAGGGGAAGAAATGCAGGTGTCCTCCATATGGCTTCACTTTTAAAAAGCAGGGGAGGAAGTGAGCAAGGGTGGTGGCGGGGGGTCCATGCTAGCTCTTGTGCCTTATCTACGGGGCAATCAGCTTGTGACTGCTGGCACCTTCATGGGCAGGCTGTTATCTCTTGAGACAACCTCCTAAAGAGTGAGAGTTCCACAGTGGGCATGATTGGTTTATAAATCAACTGTTAATTCTCAAGTTGACTTTCCAGTTTGAGCGTGTAGTTAGATGAACTTGCACTGTAGGGAGAGTCCGGTAATGGGGAGGTAAAAGGCTATATTTGCATTCCTAAAAGCCTAAGTAGGGAGTGGGGAACTGAAGGAACAAGAAAAGGAAAGAAAAAAAATAATAATTGATGTCTCAGGAAAATGGGTGTACTCGGTTACAGCAATGAGATTTTAAAGGATTTTTAAAGCTCAGTGGTTAAAAGTCAGCTTGATTAAATGCTAATATACATAAGGTGTCAAAATTTGGCATGACGGTTATAAAATTATAAATGTAACTCAAAAGATAATTATCCTTGTGTAATTTTTTTTGATAAATAAGTCATTTATCCTGAGTTATTGGCGAAAAACTCATTTGTTTAACCTTAAGCTTCTTACTTAGGTAAACACCTGAAATTCACAGGCTATATAAATGATTAACAGGAAAATACCTTTAAATGTTGATTATCACAGTTTTCATAAGTAATCTAGGTAAACTATTAAAAATAACTTAGGTAAATGTAATGGAAGGAATGCTTGTAAATAAGCATAATATAATTTAGAATCTAAAGTTATATTACATAACAGGCATTTATTAAATGTCTGGGTCATTCACAATTAAAAAAATTACAGAAAAACATTTTGCTAAGAATATGTTCTTATTTAAAGGAAAATAATTTTTGTTGAATTCAAAGGTTATTTAAAGGTTATGAAACAAGATAAAAGGAACCACTAAATAAGAGCGATATAAAGACAGTTAAAAATATAAAGAGATATTTTTGGTAAGAAAGGTTAAAAGGAAAATTTTATATGAGAAAAAAATCTTGCATGGTAAATGTTTGTTCTAAAATAAAATGGCTGGATGCAAATAGCTCATGCATGTAATCCTAGCACTTTGTAAGGCTGAGGTGAGCAGATTGCTTGAGCCTGGGAGTTCCAGACCAGCCTGGGCAACATGGTAAAACCCTGTCTATACAAAAAACACAGAAAATTAACTGAGTATGCTGGTGCACATCTATAGTCCCAGCTACCTGGGAGGTTGAAATGGGAGGATTGCTTGAGCCTGGGTGGGTCAAGGCTGCAGTGAGCTGTGATCATGCCACTACACCCCAGCCTGGGTGACACAGAGAGAGAGACCTTGTCTCAAGGAAACAACAGCAGCAACAACAGCAGCAACAACAAAGAAATCTTAAAAAAAAGAAAAAGAAGATAAAATGATTGGTTATTTAGGAAAGAAGGCTGTTTAGGATAAAACAGGAAGTCTAGGCATGTCATAAGTGGCTTGTGTAAGTCATAGTAAGGTTTGTAAAAAGAGACTTTATGAGAAAAGAATTTATTTGATCAAGTTGGCTATAATTAAAAGGAAATTAGTCTTTCTAGAGACTGTGCTTTTGCACTTACTGTATATTAAAAATATGCTAATCCACTCAAGAATGGGCTAGAAGAACAAAATTTTCTTAAGATATTAATTTACTCTTAACAAATTACAAGATATTTTAATTTTTTTACCCCAGATTTCAACTTTTATTGAATCTCACTGTTTTCACCTTTCTCTCCCCTTCATAAGTCCTGAGATAATCGCTCTCTCCAACTTTCTTGTCAGTTTCTATAATTTTTTTTCCTCAGGTTCTAACTGCTACTGTGACATGATGCTAAAAGTGTTTTATCTTAAAGGTCTAAAGGAAATATTTTCTTCCAATATAACATTCTGTGCTCTTGGTTTGAAGTTTTTCTATGAAACTGAAAATTTTCACTTATGATGCAAGACACACCCTTCCTATATCTAACTAATTCAAGTACCATTTTCATTAGTTTTGACTTGAAGTCTAGGGAAAAGCAATTGCTGCAGGTCTTTTATTTATTTTTTGCCTTTTGGTAACTGGCCTAACAAACAGATTTTATATTTTATTGAAACAATTCCTATGTCATTAAGTTTTTTATTTGCCTAGGAAAACTGAGATTTAAAAAATTAAAGTTATTAACATCCATACAATGTTCTGTATTGCTTTTAAAGTCCTTGTTCTGTTGAGTTACAGGGCTTTGACTCCTGTATCTAAAAAGGACACCAAGTCCTGCTAAATCTTAAACACTGAAAGCTTCTAAAACCGTATCTTCAGAACCAGGAGAAGATGATAATCAAAAGAAACTGCACTCATGAAACACAGGGCCAGAAATTGAAACTATCTTACCCCTCAAAGTCCAGGGGCTATTGTGGAAGATGTGGGTACATGCGATTGTAAGAGCCTATTTTGAAAGATAAAATTGGTTTTATCTTGGTTACAGTTTCTCTGTAAAGATTAGTATCAAAGGCTCACTGATGCAAGACTAACCTCTGAGCTCCTGTGTCAGATTAACAAGGTTTTCTTGGAGTATTAACCCACTTTTTCATTTAAAAAATTATAAAATGTTACAAAAAGGTTTTTGGAAATTATATAGTATGGTGAAGATCATTAAAATTTAATAGATTTGTTTATAAGATTTGAGAAACAGATTTCATTGGCCTCATGCTATCTTTATTAGGGCTTATTGTTTGGAAAATTAAGTCTCCTCTCTCAAAGAGTAATGGTTTTGTCTTTTGACTTTTTTTTTTTTGAAATCTTTGAGTTATCACTTTGGTTAAATGAATGACTTATTTTACAATGACCAATGACCAATGATCCTATTTTGTGATAGCAGGTGTTTTAAAGTTTTGATATTTGATTTTTTCAAAATTAAATTCTAAATTCAGTCCTTTTGACTCATTAATTTTTTTGATATTAGGTCCCCTTAAGTCCAAAAGACACATATTTGCCTTATTTGGTATAATACAATCATTAGATATTAATTTCATATTTGACAATACCTACTGTATAATTTTATTATACCAAATAAATGTAACCTAATAATCTATAATTATAATTTATATTTATAGATTTAACCTGTAATTTTATTATACCAAACAGGTATAACCTCATTTCATGGGATGCGCCCATTCCCCTGAATTCCTCCATCTCCCCTGGGACCTGTGTTGAAGGTCATCTCAGTAGCTTCTAGGTTTTAGTGATAATGAATAAGGCAGTGAATGTGACATGTAGGTTTTAGGTGTACATACATTTTCAAGTCAGCTAGGTCAACGTCTATGACACTTGTGGTCACGTGGTACAAGTACATTTAGCTTTGTGAGCAATTCCCAACTGTCTTCCAAGGCGGCTGTACCATTTTGCATTCAGCAGCAGCAGCATTTTGCAGCAGCAATGCACAGAGTTCTTGTGGCTCCACATCCTCTATGGTGTTTGGTGTTGTCAGTGTTGCCTGTGAAGTCTGAGCCCCTCTTGTGGGTCTCTACCTCAGGTACTTGTGGGTCATAGAGAGAACTTTTCACCATGCAGCATGATTGTGTTTGCTACCGCTTGTTTCCTCAGTAGCCACTTGGGTTCTGGACCCACATGCCCCAGCTCGGCCCATGGTTTGGAGCTCAGTAGATGCTCTGTGATGCTGGCTGCTCCCTGGCCAAGAGAGCCCTTGGGGGGCTCTGTCACGTCCTATCTTGGACTCCTGCATGGGATGCCCCTATTCCTCTGAATTCCTCCGTCTCCCCTGGGACCCTCCATCCCCCATAGGCCTTACCTGACTCTGTAGTGCTCCCAAAACATGACATGGTGTCTGAAGGTGCACTTCATGTCCAGGTCAATCTGGTTTATTTTCGCTGAGGACATCTTGCCCTGCTGCTTTATTTTCTGCTCCCTCTGCTCCCAAATCCTAGGCCCTCCTGAGTGTGAGCCCATAGAAAGACCCTCTTCCCTTCCCTAAGTGGCCACCTGGACTGATAACCTGTGGTGGATGAGGATGGGGCTGGTCCTTCCCTGGGGCTCACTCTCCCGCAGTTGCTTTACAGTGAGAGCCCTGTATAGGAGCCCTGCTCCTTTATTTTCTTTAGGGCAGGGCTAAAGGGCTGGTTCCTCAGGAAGGAACCAGCCTCATAACAGACAAAAGGCTCACTACCACAAACAGCAATCATTCAGCACTTCTGGAAGGAAAGAAGATTTTTTTTTTTTTTTTTTTTTTTGCAGAAATATCCTTCTCTATCTTATTTCCAAAGCCACTGAGGGTCACCAGAGCCCAGTTCACTTGTGGTTCCCATGCCATCGTCTGTGCCTAGGATATGGGACTGACCATCACTCAGGCTTGACTTTTCCTCTAGCTAGAGACCCGGGCTCCTGACATGGCCTGGCCTGTTTCTTCCGCTGTGGCTGAGTGTGGAAGGACCATACCTGGTACTTACTTGGGTTTTCAGCCTTCACCTTCTTAACGTCCAGCAGGAGTGACCATGCCTGACTCCACATCTGCAGGGGGATTCCTTAACAACATGCTTTTTTGCCTTAACAACATGCTTTTGCTGCAGATATCAGCCAGGGCCTGTTTCTCTGCTCCTCGCTAAGAATGCTTTGTTTCCCATAAGGAATGCTTTTAGCTAATATATAATCTATAGAAGCAATGCTTATCACTGGCTTACTGTCAATTAATATGTGGGTCTAACTCCATTCATGGCTCTCAGCTCTGAAGGCTATCAGCCCCTGATTCCCACTCTACACTCTATTTCTGTGTCTGTGTCTTTAATTCCTCTAGCGCCACTGGGTTAGGGTCTCCACGACCGAGCTGGTCTTGGCAATTGGTTGGGAGGACAGAAGACTGACTCACTGTGGAATCTCAAGCTGACTGATGACCTTGTAGATGTAAACATCTTCATCTCCTGTGTCCACTGGTGCCCTGGATCAGCAACCTGCAAGGCAGAGGGAGAGAGGGTGAGGGAGGCCAAAATAAAAGTTGTTGGGTATGGGCGTGTGGGCAGCTCATCCTTGCCCTGCATCCCGAAGGAGTCCAGGACCATCAGACCAGGGAACAGAGGGAGAGGTGAGACCCGCCTCCCTGGAGGGAGCAGCCTGACCTGTGTCTGCTTATACTTGGCAATGATGTCCCTTTACTCCTGGGCGAGCAGGATATCCATGTCTTTGTCCATATCCACCCTATAAGACAAAATACTCCCAAAATTACATGGCACCTGAGAGCTTTAGAGAACACCCCATACATCTGCTCCCAGATGCCAGCCGGGTGAACTTCATTTCACCAACACCCCCAGGACAATGGGACCAAGCCAAATGGCCCCACCTCTGCCAGGACTTCTGGAGTCCCTGGGCCTGACCAGAGGTGGGCCCTTTCCTGAGGACTTTAAAACAAGGAGACCTAGACAACAAGACTTGTTGTCCCTAAATGTCCTGAAATGGGCACACACTCCACAGCAGGATGAACGGCATCTACCTGCTCAGGGTGAAGGGCCATGATGACTATAATGGACACCTGGAGGCAGACTAGGGCCAGGAACCAGAAATCTCTATATGATCAGCCTCCTGCTATTGTTCAGACACCATGAAGATGCCCAGTTTTCTATAGGAAAGAAGAAATCTCATGAGTGTTCTGTTCCACTCAAATCTTTACTCACTGTGGCCAGTGAATCCATTTGAAGAATAACACCAGTCAAGAAGGAGGATGTTTGGTTCGGAGAAGGCTTGATCTATTGTCTCCAAAGCAGCCTCCCTTTGGTGGAGGGAGGGCAGATTCCACAGTCCTGAGCAGTTGATACAGGAAGAGGCTTTGTTTTCCCAGGTCACCAAAGAACAAGTGAACTCTTGGGGACAGGTTCTGGAGAACACCCAGAGGGGCCATCTCTCCTGGGAATACCTGAGACAAAGGGAAGGTGATACGTCTGGAGGACAGGTCAGAGAGAGGGCCTTGCAGGTTAAACCCCTGTCCCCAGGCCTCAGAGAACAGGAGGAATGACTGTCACCTTTCGGCCAGACCTCCAGGGTTTCTTCATTTTCCACAACTATTCGAGGGCAGAGGGCTCCCAGCTCTGCTCCCAAACTGGAAAACTCCAGTGCCTGGTGGGTCCCACAGTAACCATCAGAGCCCACACTTAAAGTCTGAATGGATAAGATCCCTGCCTCTGGGGAACTTTTTCTTGCACAGACTTGGACTGAGGGATGCCTCTAACCCCACCCACAGGGCCCCCCATTCCTGTGGCTCTTCCAGAGCCAGGTTCTACCCCCACTGGGGTCCGGAATCCTCAGCAGATTTTGTATCTAAGGCAGGAAGGCTGCAGAGGCCAGGAGTTGAGTGCAGGACAGCACAAGGCAGGGCTGAGATCACAGTCCAGAGTCACATCTGGGTCCCTGGGTCAGTTGCCTCCCCTCTGACCTCAGGCATCTCATCTTCAAATGGGTACATTAGCACCCATTCCACGAAGTCAGTGTGAGGGTGAATGAGACGGCTGCAATACATGGTCAGTGAAGAGAAAGCACCTGGTGGGAGCTCAGCGACATTACCCTCCACAGTGCCCTGGAGGCCAGTGATGCCATCTGGTAGCATCTGCCCCCATGTCAGCAGGAAGGGGAGACAGCAGGTCACACTTACCCGAGAATGATCAGTCAGCTGTGCTGAGATGTGCCTCTCACTTAGAAAAGGGTCCTGCACACAGAGACACTCACAGACACCACTGTGTGTCTCCAGCTGCTCCACAACTCAGAGGCAGGCAGATGTTCAGCAACAGTGACGTCTGGGGTTACAGCACCCATCAGAGTGGGGCCCTGCCTGGGTCAGCAGGGCCCAGGTCCAGTGTCCTCTACTCCTTGAACTGTCAACACGCATGCATTCAATGTGTTTGTGTGTGAGTGTGAATGTGTATGTTGTGAACACGTGTGTGCATGAGTGTGTCTCTTCTCTGGCTGGTCTTGGCTGCTCCACCACATGTGCACCCAGGTCCTCATCACTGTCACCCCCAAGGGCTGTGGCCAGCATCAGAGCATCTATGGGTGCTCCCTAGTCTCTGCCCTCTCCACCTGAGGCAGTTCTGGATATGCAGACATAGGAAGGGCAGAGGGCAGAGGGCTTGCCCTTTCCTCATAGGGACTCAGTTTGTGTGTAAAATTTTAGGCCTACATGCTCAGCAGGGCAGGATTCAGCACACCTTCTCACGTCCTCCTCCTCCTCGAAGCCTTCTGGGCTGCTGTGTCCATTCCCCTTTTATAGATGGAGGGAAGGAGGCTCCCAGGACAAATCTCCTGTCTGAGGTCACACAGTGGCAGGTGACTAGGCACCACTGACCAGGTCCCCTGCCTAACTGGACCTGAGGAAGGAGGAAGCTCAGGAGGGAGGTGGGTGGAATCACCTCTTGGATGTCAGCTTCTGTCCACCAGGTGTCAGGTGACCCCCTCTTATCTGTTTTCTTTACCTCTGCTATCTCCCTTGGTCATTGAAATTGAACTGGGGTGGGGACATATTGGGAACCTATACCTGCAGCCCTTCCATCTCCTCAGAAACCTTCCCATGGGCCCAAAAATGCCCCCTCACTGGCCTCCTGTTTTCTACTCTTTAACTCTTAACCTCACCCAGGCATGGGGCCATAGTGGCCTGGAGACCCTATCAGATGCAAGTCCATTAGGGCACATCCCTGCTTAGGGGTCACCACCAGTGCCCCATCCCAATGGGACGCTCCAGTGGCTAAGAAACCCCCTTGCTCCCACACAGCCATGTGGAAACAACCTCATGTCCATTGAGAGATGAAAGGAAATGGAGGCTATCCTCACAATGGAATATTATCCAGCCATGCAAAAGAAGGAAATCCTGCCATTTGCAACATGGATGAACCTGGAAGACGCTGTGCTAAGTGAGACAAGCCAGTCACAAAAAGACATATACTGTATAATTCCACTGAGATAAAGTACCTAAAATAGTTAAACCCATAGAAGCAGAATGTAGAATGGGGGTTACTGGGAGGTGAGAAGAGGGACATGAGGAGTTGCTTTTCAGCTTGTGTAAAATTTCGGGTATGGAAGATGATTAAATTCTAGAGATTCGATGCATAACATCCTACCTATAGTAAACAATGCTGTATTACACATTAAAAAAATTCTGCTAACATTAGGAGATATATGTGTGTGTACCTGTGTGTGTATACAGTGTAGTATTTTTTTTTTTTTGCTGAACAGTACTCCATTGTATGGATGCACCATAGTTTGTTTACACGTTCACCTGTTAAAGGACATTTAGTTTGCTTCTGGGTTTTGCCTATTATGACTGGAGCTTTTATAACAGTTTGTGTACGGGTGTCTGTGTGGACATAAGCTTTTATGTCTTTAGGAGAAATACCAGGGCTGAGATTGCTGGTTCCCGTGGTAAGTATATGTGTAACCTTACAAGAAACAAATTGCTTTCCAGTGCAGCTGTGCCATTTTGCTTTCCTGGCAGCGATGTGTTAGTCCTGTTGCTCCACATCCTCGCCGGCACTACTAGTGTCTGTGGTTTTTATTTTAGACATTCTAATGGGTGTGTAACAGGATCTCACTGTGGTTTTGATTTGTAGTCCCCTAGTGAGTCATAGTATTGAGTACCTTGTCTGGGCTGCTCTGCCTGCTGCGTGCCCTCGTTGCTGAAGTTTGTGTCTGAGTCTTTGTCTCATTTCTGAAACTGGTTTTGTTTTCTTGTTTTTGAATTGGATTGATTGTTTTAATTGGGTTGGCTTGAGCATTCTTAAGTGTTCTGAATATGAGTCCTTGTCAGACGTGTGATTTTTTAAAATATTTTCTCCAAATCTACAGCTCATCTTTTCATTCACTTAACAATGTATTTTACAGAACAAAAGTTATAATTTTGATGAAGTACAACTTATTGAATTTATTTTTGCCTTTTGCTATACTTTGCTTTCAGTGTCACATCTATGAACTCTTTGCCTAACTAGATTGGAAAAATTTTTTCTCCTATGTTTTAGTCTAAGCATTATATATTTTTATATTTTATGCTTAGATCTATGATCCATTTTGAGTTAATATTGTAACTAATGCAATTTGTTACATGTAAATTAGGAGGTTTAGATCAAGATTCATTATTCTGGATAAGACTGTCCAATTGTTGACTGGGTGCCGTGGCTCACGCCTGTAATCCCAGCACTTTGGGAGGCCGAGGCTGGTGGATCACGAGGTCAGGAGTTCAAGACCAGACTGGCCAAGATGGTGAAACCCCATCTCTACTAAAAATCCAAAAAATTAGCCGGGCCTGGTGGCAGGCGCCTGTAATCCCAGCTACTTGGGACGCTGAGGCAGAGAATTGCTTGAACCCAGGAGGCGGAGGTTGCAGTGAACCGAGATTGCCACTGCACTCCAGCCTGGATGACAGAGCAAGACTCCGTCTTAAAAACAAAACCAAAAACCAAAAAACAAAAAAAGACTGTCCAATTGTTTTAACACTGTTGAAAAGACCTTCCTTTCTCTGTTGAATTGCTGCTGTTCCTTTGTCAATAATTAGCTATAATTGTGTGGGTTTATTCCCAAGCTTCCCAATGTCTTCCATAGATCTATGTGTCTATCACTTCTCCAATATCACCTTGTCTCGGTGAGCTCTTTTGGAACAGCACTTTGGAAGGGTAACCTGCAAGTGGGGTGAGGGGCTCTATGATGGGACATACCTGGCCTAGTGGGCAAGGAAGGGCTTTATGGTCAAACATTCCTGGGATGCAGTAACGGCTTTCCCCTGTATTGCGGGACATCAAATATTCTCTTCATTTCTTTCAACTTGAATGTTCTCACCTGTAAAATGAAAAATAACTATTCTACCTTATTTGGAAGAGAAGACCAAGAACCTATATGACATTGAGCAGGTGTCTACGGAGCACCTAGTATCATGTGATACACTTGGAAGATACCCTGGTGAACATGCTGGACACAGCTCCTGCTTCTGTAGGGCTTGCATGTTAGTGAGGGAGACAGAGACATAACCAGACAACTGTAATTATGGGCCAACATTTCTGCCCTCAGAAACATATGATGTGCAAGTGGGTCAACACAACCCAATCGTGGAGTGAAAGAGAAGGTTCTGGGGCAGTGACTTCAAAGTGAAAGAGTACAGGGTGAGAAAGGGGCAGCACAGGAACAAAACAGGGCGTGGGGAAAGAGGGACTATAGGTAGGCAGACAGCATGGGAGAAGGCAGAGGATGAAGAGAGTAGGACAGCATGGTGGGGCATAGAGAGCACTGAACAATGGCGAGAAATGGGATCCACCAGAGAATAAAGGAAGGGTTTTGCATGTTCCAGTGAGGTGTTGGGCTTCATGTCGTTCATTTTGTTTTATTCTATTGAATTTTATTGCTATTATTCCACATAAAATTCACCATTTTAAGTTACACAATTTAATTTTAAATATATTCACAAGATTTGGAACTATCATTGCTATCTAATTCCAGATCACTTATATCACCCTTAAGAGAAAGCTTATACTCATTAGCTGTCAGTTCCTATTCTCCCCTCCTGCAGCCCCTGGCAACCATTAATCTGTGTTTAGTCTGTATGGATTCACCTATTCTGGACACTTTACATACATGGAATTATATAATATGTGGTCTTCTGTGCCTGGCTTCTTTCACTGAACATGCTGTTTTCACATTTCATCCACATGATAGCCAATGCCAGTGTTTCATTCCTTTTTATGGCTGAAGGACATTGCATTGTGTAGATGTATCAGTTTCCTAGGGCTGCTGTAACAATGTACCACAAACTGGGCGGCTTCAAACAACAGGAACTTATTGTCTCATAACTCTGGAGGTTAGCAGTCTAAAGTGTCAGCTGGCTACCCTCCCTCTGAAACCTGTAAGGGAATCCTACCTTGCCTCTTCCTAACTTCTGGTGGTTTGCCAGCAATCTTGGCTTGCAGGAGCATCACTCCAGTCTCTCCTCTTGTCACCACATGGTTGCCTTCTCTTTGTATGTTTGTGTCTTCACATGCTATCTTTTCGTAAAGACACCTGCCGTATTGGATTAGGGCCTGCTCTACTCTAGTATAACTTTGTCTTAACTAATGACATCTGCAATGCTGCTATTTCCAAATAAGGGCACATTCTGAGGTTTGGGGAGTAGAGCTTCAATGTATCTTTCTTGGGAGGGCACAATTCAACCCATAACAGTGGACACACCTTTTCTTTATGCTAGGCTTTCTTATAAAAGTAATGAGATGCCAGTTAAATTAACAGTCCTTAGTGCTTCCTGTTTTTTGAGTCAAGCGCTTCGCATGTGTTATGAAGTTTACAATTGCTCTGCAGGGTGGAAGGTGGAAGCTATTATTTATAAGAAAAAAAAATTAAGGAAAGAATGGTGAGAGGGTGAACCAAGGTCACACTCTTGATCCATAATGGAGATAGGAAGACTTTCCAAGGTTTTTCCAAAAGTTCTACACTTGGTAAGTGGCAGAGTCCAAATAGAAACTCAGGTTTTCTGCTTCCAAATCCCATGATCTTTGCAATGTTGCAAGTCTGGCTTCTGCTGTGAAACGCTACTGTTATAGAATACGTCTTCCAGATCACAGAAGCTTTCATGACCCTTCGACTGTCTCATGCAAGCAATGGTGAAATGGTAGAGATGCTAATTAAGCGGGGACATCAAGGGCACCCTCAGGGCTGAGTCAGCTGCAGTCCACAAGACAGAACTAAAAGGAAAGAATCCATGGGGAAACACCTTCATTAGGCCTTTTCACTATGGGAAAAGAACTTTCAGAGTTTGAGTGATGGGAAGAGTGAGGACCTTAAACAAAATGGTGAAAGCAAAAGAAATTTTTAGAGGAGAATGGTGGGTTCAATTTGGCCCTGGTGAATTTGAAGGGTGTATTAGTCTGCTAGAGCTGCAATAGCGAAGTATCACAGACTGGGAAGCTTCAACAAGAAAAATTTATTTTCTCATAGTCCTGGAGGCCAAAATTCTGACATTAAGGTGTCCGCAGTGTTGATTTCTTCTGAGGCCTCTCTTGTTGGTTTGTAGATAACTGTCTTCTCCCTGTGTCTTCACACAGTTGTCCCTCTGTGAGTGTCTGTGCCCTAATATCCTCTTAGGGCCCACCCTAATGATCTCATTTTAATTCTATAAAGACACTATTTCCAAAGAAAGTCACATTCTGAGATACTGGGGGTTAGAACTTCAATATACAAATTTTGAGAGGACACAACCCAACTCACAACAAAGACCTTGCTGTGCAGTAAAGCAGAGATATCTTTTAGGTTCTTAGCACTCAGAGTTGACAGTTGAGGAAAGACCAAGGTTGAGCATGTCATTTTTTTGTTTTGTTTTGTTTTTTGAGATGGAGTCTCGCTGTGTCACCCAGGCTGGAGTGCAGTGATGTGATATCAGCTCACTGCAACCTCTACCTCCTGGGTTCAAGCAATTCTCCTGCCTCAGCCTCCTGAGTAGCTGGGACTACAGGTGCACACCACCATACCAGGCTAAGTTTTTTGTGTTTTTAGTAGAGATGGGGTTTCACCATGTTGGTCAGGCTGGTCTCAAACTCCTGACCTCAAGTGATTCACCTGCCTCAGCCTTCTAAACTGCTGAGATTACAGGTGTGCGCCACCACACCTGGCAAAGATGTCATTTTTAGGAGGCAGAAATTGAAGACATGTGATATGGTTTGGCTGTGTCCCACCCAAATCTCATCCTGAATTGTTGTTCCCATAATCCCCACATGTTGTGGGAGGGACCTGGTGGGAAGTAATTGAACCATGGGGGAGGTTGCCTCCATGCTGTTCTTGTGATAGTGAATTGTTATCAGATCTGATGGTTTTTTAAAAGGGGCTTCCCCCTGTCCCCTTTCACTCTGCCCTTCTCCTTGCTGACACCATGTAAAGAAGAAGGTGTTTGCTTCCCCTTCTGCTGGCATTGTAAGTTTTCTGGGGCCACTCCAGCCCTGCAGACCTGGGAGTCAATTAAACCTCTTTCCTTTATAAATTACCCAGTCTTAGGCTGTCTTATAGCAGCGTGAGAACGGACTAATACAACATGTGATAGCTGATGATCCCAGAAACAAAGTCTAGAGAAATTGGGTGAGGATGCCAGTCTTGAGTGTTTTTGGTCATTGACAAGGTAAAATAAAATTTCTTAAAACGTTTTCCTACTTTTGCTATAGAAGCTTGATTTGTGAAATAGTGTTTGGAGAGTTGTAGTATAAATATCAATGCAGAGTGAATTAAAAAACAGAAGAAATGGATAAACCAGATTTACAATCATTAAGTAAATCAAAATTGGTAGTTAAAAAAATTTAGCATGACCAGGCCCAGATGATTTAACAGGCAAATTGAACAATTGAAAAATAGGCAGCAGGTAGATTTTTCTGGATTTACAGAGTGTATCCACCCCAGCATATCCACTTCTCTGAGCCTTCTCACCTCTGTCTTTCGTGGGGAGTTGTCACTTTTTCCATACTTACAGGAGCTTACCTTGAATCTGATTTGAACTATCTTCTGGAATCCCTGTTAGGCTGTTAAATCCTGTATCCTGTGAGGATCCTCCTGCATTGATAATAAACCTCTCTCATCTAACCTTAGGTTCTACTTGGAAATGGAGACCCTTTAGTATCCAGCCCCATGGATATCTCAGGACTTCTGCCCATATATGTGGCTATATTCTGTGGCTCTTCCCCTATTAAGTCATAAGGTCCCTGGCTGAGGTAGGCTGTGGTGAACCTCATCATTGGCCTGGCCACCAGGAAACAAGGTGTGAGCTGATCAGGGGGTTTTAGGGCACTACAGTCTTGTGGGAGAGCAGTCTCTGCCTTCTCTCCAAGCAAGGGGCCAGTGCTTTCCCTTCCTAGGGAGGGCTGGGCCACTCTGCACACTCAGATTGTGCAGGGGCATCTGGGGATTCAGATAAAAAGAGAAATGGGCAGAGGGGAACAAGAAAGGGGCACAGAGAGAGAAGCTGGGATGAGTCACGAGAGCACAGAAAGAGGGGCAGAGACACGGCTGGTTGCCAGCAAGGTCTCAGGATCAATAGGAAGACCATTGTTGGAAGGAGGAAGATTTCCCCAGTATTTTGTGTGGGAGCTCCAGTTGGAAGCTGGAAGCTCTGCTCTTTTGCATCTTAGCGTGAAGACGGGGACCATGGGTTCATCTCTCCCAGGCAGCTCTTCATTTTGTTGTTTTATTTTCTTTTTTGATTTTTATTTAGAAATTTTCTACATTTCCTAAAATCTTAACTTTTATATCATTGTTGGTGTCCAGTAAATTAAGAGAAATGTGGCAAAATGACATGGAATCCAAATACATCATCAAAGAGATATTTTATTTGTAAACAAGTTACTCTCTAAGGTCTTAAAATCTGCCCCAAGTGTTCTCTCTGCACGTGAACAGGCGGAATAATTGTGATAAAATGGAAGAGCCCAGCAGGTGGGGTCTGTGAGATCATTCAGCTGACTCCTGCAGACAATGTGCTCTCTCTCTCTCTGCCCCCACACTAAGGGTGCACTCCTTGTTCATCTCCAGGACGGTGTCAGCAAATGCTGCCTGGGGCATGCTGGTGATCACTGTGTCACTTTGGGTCAGGAAACACATTCTGGAGAGGACAAAGCAAGTGAACAGGCCTTGTACGCTGAGTGGAAGGCCTTTTATCTCCAAAAAATCAAACCAGAGAAATTAAAAAATATCTTGAAACAAAAGACAAGGGATACACAAATATAAAAACTTGAGGGTTCCAGGGACCAGAGGGCTTCTGCACCTTAGCCTGTTTCCTGCTTTGCTAAATGAGCAGATGTGTGATGTGCTCTCTTTGGTCCCATCGCTTCCTATTGTGATTCCTCCACCCTGGGCACTTGCTGTCATCCTGTTCTGCCGGCTGCTGCCTCACTCAACAAAACCTGTCGACTTCGACTAAGGTCAAGATTCATGGGTCGACCTTAGTACCACCTGCCATTGGCCCCAGGACCATGCCCTGTGCCACCACCCAGGCCCCAGAGCCCACGGCACAGCAGGTTCACCCTGAGGACATCTGAACAGGTCTTTTTTCACAAGAGGACAGAAGAAAGGATAGCGACACTGAGCTCCAATGCCGTGAAGAGGAGCATCACAGACAGGATCCTCTGAAATGCAGGATGCACGAGGTCTGTGCTGGACTGGCCAACCCTTCTGCCTTCCTGAGATGACCAGATGGGTTTAGACAGTGTCATCTGCTGGCTCCTCTTCCCTCGTACCTGACTCAACCTGCTCATGATCTGGGAGACAGTGTCATATCCTAGTATCCTGGGCCACTCCAGGGACAGCAGTACAGGTGGCAGGTGACACCCAAGGTTGAGCTGAGCCTCCTGACTCTTCATTCATCTGGCCTCCATGGAGAGTCTCCGCCTGTCTGGGTTTCAATTTCGTCTTCTGTAAGATGGGGACTTCCCACTCACCCCTTAGGGCGGTTTGCAGGTCCACAGAGGTGGTGAGGCAGAAGGCCTTCCTTTGTAAACTGAGCGCCAGCACCTGCTACCCACCTATGCTCCCTGGGGTGGGCCTGCTTGGCTTGGCTGGGAGGCAGCAAGGGGCACCTTGACCAATCAAAGTGATGTGCTGGCACAGTTGCTAATTCTCACGCCAGTCCCCAGGAGCTATCTGCCTGAGGAGGAGAACAATTCTGCTTCCCTGGGTCACCTTCCATGGAACAATGACTTCCAAGTAGAACAGGTAAGGCCACAGGTGGGCAGAATCTAGAATTTATTTGTACAGACTGTGACTATAGTGGGTTAGTGTCCCCCCTCAAATTCATGTCTACATAGAACCTGAGAATATGACCTTATCTGGAAATATGGTCTGTGTAGGTGCAATTAGTTAAGGATCTCAAGGTGAAATCATCCTGGATTTAGGGTGGACCCTAAATGCAATAACTGGTGTTCTTATAAGAAGAGAACAGGACACAGAGACAAACAGAGGGGAAGGCCTCATGAGGATGGAGACAGAGGTTAGAAAGACGTGTCCAGAAGCCAAAGAATGCCTGGAGTTCCCCAAAGCTGGAAGAGACAAGAAAGAGTTTTTTCCTAGAGCCTTCAGAGAAAGAGCGGCCCTGCCGACTCCTCGATCTTGGACTTTGCTTTCAGAACTGTGAAGGAATTCACTTCTGTTGTTTTCAGTCACCAGTTTGTGGTCCTCTGTTATTGTGGCCATGGGAAATGAACACAAGGACCCCTCAGGCAGGGGTTGCCGCTTCTCAGCTCTTCCTGAGAAGCTCCTGAGCCAGAGAGCTCAGGCTGGTTTCTGAGGAGCTCATCCTAACCCACTACACAAACCCCATCCAGCCGCTCAGCAGATGCCTCCCCTGCCCCTCAACCCTCCACTCCCATTATAGCTGCTCCATCTATGGGAGGATGGCCTGAAGCCAGCGATGAGGGGATGGGACAACGGCCAGGCTGTGCACACATTCCCCCTGCCTGCTGCCTCTCCACCCCTAGAATATCCCCCTCTATGGCTGCAGGAATGCAAATTTCCTCTGCCTTCTTTTCTCAGTGTTCCACACACATGTTCTCTTGACTTTATTGACTAAACACATTTTAGAGCAAATACTGATGCTCAGACTGGCTCTAATGCAACAGAGAATGCGAAACCACATTCTGTCATTTTCATAAAGTTCTGATTGCAAACAACAATTAAAAAGCCCATTCCGTATTTGTTTCCTGATTTTTTGGGGTCATTTTTGGCCATCCCATCCATTTTTGTGCATGTGGTGGAATTAGGATTTAGCCTCTTGCAGCCTCCCTTGACCTGTGGCTCTTGCCTGGCTGAACCTGGGCACTGCCAGCCTGTGGCCACCCTGTTTATGAGGTTCCTATGTCTCCCTGAGCTCTTGGCCTTTCTTGAGCAATTCGCTACCCTGACCCTAGAGTTCTTGCTTGGAAAAACCCATCCCTTGAGACTATGACAGTTAAATCAGTTTGTTTATTAAGGTGCTCAAATTGAAACCAAGTTGTTGGTTATGTCTTTTTGCAACTACAGTCTTGCTTGATATTGTACTTGAACAACTCTTTTGGCACAGTCCAGTCAAATGCCTGCTATTCTCCCATGTGTGGGTTCCTGTGTTCTGCCTCTTTCCGCATGGTCCACATCAGAAGGAAGCAGTGAACAAGAAGCAGAAAATCTCAAAGACTTCACTAGTCTGGAACATTCTACCTAAAAATACTCACCAGTAAGCTGGAGCTGGCCACAAAGCAGCTGGTGGTCTCATTCTTCGAAAAGTAGTGGCTGTCTTGGGGCACTGATGGGCAGGCACCACCAGTTGGCACTGTCTGGCAGCTGGGAACACCCCGGCTAGGTGATAGGGAAGGACAATGAGGCCCACTGTGGCAGCCATGGGGCTTAGGAGGCTGCTGATCAGGCTGTTCCAGGCCTGCAGGGGATCTGGTCAGGGTCTGCTCCTGAGCAGTTCATGCTCCTGGGGCACCACGATCCCACCAGGCCAGCAGCAGGTTCTCACATCCAGGATCCTCGGCAGGATGGGACTTCCTCTTCTGTTATACGATTTGATTAATTTTGTTCACTCTCAACCCCTCTCAGAGCTCCCCAAGCCTACAGGCAAATGCTTGCTTGATGCACGACACATGAAAGCGTGAATGAAGCAGAGACTTATGGTGGGACAGACAGGAGATGTGGTTCTGGTAGCTTCTCCACCCAGGACTGAGCAGGGCTAGAGGAAGAGGAAGATATGTATAGAACTGATGTCCCATTGGACTGAACCGAACAGAGAAAATATTGCAATGCCCACAGTGCTTGATAAATCACAGCTTCCCTGACCTCCAAGCCCCCTGATGGCTTTACCCAGTCCACTGGCACCCTGAGGAGGTTCCTCCAGCCATCTCCCCTAAGCCTAGCCAGAGGCCTCCTGCCTCATCCTGAGCTGAGGCTGTCATCAGGTGGGTTCCCAGACATGCTCTTTCCTATCACCTGGCTCTGTCTGCAGCACCCCTGCACGGTAGAGCTCGAGGCCAAGGGGCCTGCTCACCCAAGTACAACAGATGCCCCCACAGCAGCCTCTGTCATATGGGGACAGCAGCAGGGTTGGTGCTCTTTCCTGTTCTTTTCATCCACTCCACTTTGTGAAAAGGGTGCCCTGGCAGGAGGGCCAGGGAGCATGGGGTACGAGGGCTCAGTGTGGGGGCAACAGCACCTGGGGCCGAGGGTGGATGTTCAGATCCCGGCTGGGGCACGGCCCAGAGGAGGGCTGAGAATCACAGCTGCGCCATGGGGGGCTACCTCCCCTCGAAAGTAGGAAACCTGGATTCCAGTTTTGCGGTGTCCAGACTCACTTTTCAAAGACCAACACCAGGGGAGGAATAGGCTGATGTCTGTGGTGGCTTCTGGGACACCTGGGCTAGGTGTTCCAGCCCGTCACAAACAGCCCATGGCACGTGTGCTCAGGTATGCCCAGCAGCCTCTGGCAAAGATCCGGGCCCTCTTCCCAGGGGCTCAATCTCAGAGCTGGGCAGTGATGGGGGAAGAGATGGAAAAAGGTCGTGGGCCATTTCTCCATACAGCCCCAGGGATTCACAACTCGTGTTGTCAGAATGTTCTGAGAAAGTCCCTTTTTTTCAAAGAAGAGGTCCCTGAGGATGGTGGCGGGTGAATTTCCTAGGAGCCTAAGTGGCCCTGGAACACCGTGGTCCCCACCTTGTGCCGCCGTCTGCCTCACCCAGCTGCTGCTTGCTCTGTAGGGCTGGTGCTCCTGCCCTTGTTTAGGGGATCCACACAGGCTGCTTTCCTGGAGGGCTCAGGGGAGGCTGAGGGTGGGGATGAAGAAGGGCATCTGATCCTTTGAGGGAGGTCTGAGAGAATGACAGTGTCCAAACCTGGCACTGCCACCTTGAGGCTTGGCTGCCAGTTTCTTGGCAGCTTCTGTGTCAGGACAGGGAGACCCCCAAATCCCAGGTCACCAGAATCTCCACCATACCCATCTCTGTCCCCCAACCCATGCCTCTTAGCCTCCTAAGAAAGGCCTGGAAATGATTCTGCAAAAGTTTGTCAATCAGATGTGCACCCATCACTGAACACCCCCTTTTCACTCTGCACCCTTCCTGGCCCCCACCAGCAAGGCTCATCTCTTTTGATTGATGCTTTTCTCACCCAGGCTGTGGTGCACAACTAACAGCCCATGCTCTCACTGTCCTCTTTCCCCTGTGCTCACCAAGGACCTGAACCCCGGTGGTCAGTGAACACCAAAGGGTGTCATGATGAGGCAGAATTTTCCCATAAAGCCACCCAGAGCCTGGAGAGGGTACAGGACTCTCTTCAAAATGAGGATCATGAAAGGTGTCCCCCAGATCAGTGGGCCCTGTGTACTTCCACAGGGCCACTGACCAAAGGACACTTGTCAGCAACCTGGGGTTCAGTTCCTTTGTCTGAACCTTGGAAAGATCCAACTGGATGAGGTTCCGCTAAAGTCTCTTTTTAGTAAGTGAGGCACTGTTGTTCCTATACTCACCAGATGCTTGTTTGATTTTCTTCCCAAAATGACAGACAGCAATCCAGAAATGATAAACTACTCAGAAAAGAGGAAAATGGTAAAGTCAGTTTCCACATGAACAAGCACCCCGATGTCCCTACCACTGAATTGTCACGTCCTTGTACACCTCCAGGAACTTCCCCACAGGGCTGACATTATTGGGCATGCTGGAAGCTGGGCCAAAGTCCAGGCCATATGTGGCTACAGGCCAATGTTGGGGGAAGTGGATATAGGAGGCCAAGCCACCCCTAGAATCTCATGAGAACCTGACTCAGCTGGAGAGGAAGTTCTTCTAGGGCAAAGACAAAGGGGCTTAAGGCCCAGGCTCCCCAACAGGGACCAGGGAACAGTGATTTTCAAGGGAGAGAGGGCAGGTAAATGTTACAAGACTCTATTTAGATGAAGATGTTGTGGTGGGGAGAGAAAAGCCACGCGGGCTTTGAACTGTCAGTTCCATGGGCTCTACCAGAGTCAGAGTTAAGGACAGAAGAAAAAGGGGGCCCAAATAAAGGGAAGATTTTGAGGCCAGGTTAACAGCTAGAAAAAAACTGTTGATTCTGGGTTATTACAGAAAAAGTGTTCTGTGGTAATGCAGTAATTTGAAATAGCTGCAATGTACGAAAACTACATGGCATGGTGGCAAGACTATAAAAAAAAGTTTTTCTGGTCCTACCAAGAAAATAGCCAGATAGAGAGGGAACAGGGAGGTTTGTGACTCAGTGGTCAGAGGATGCTCAAAAGCCACCGTGAATGCAAGAGGCTGCGGCTGGGGCGTGAAGACAGGTCTAGGCTGTGGGAAAGCCTCATTCACATTTCACAAGACTGAAAGCTTTCTCCTGAAGCTTCTTGCTGTGGCCTGAATGTCTGTTGCCCCCAGATTTCATGTGCTAAATACCTAACCTCCAATGCGATGGTATCTGGAGGTGGGGTCTTTGGGAGGTGAGTAGGTCGTAAGGGTGAAGCCCTCATCAATGGGATTACTTCCTTTATAAAAGGAACCCAGAGAGATTCCTCTGCCCTTCCACCACATGAGGACACAGCGAGAACGCTCTATCTATGAACAAGCAACAGCCTTCACCAGACACCAAATCTGTCGGTGTCACGATCTTGGACTTCCAGCCTCCAGAACTGTGAGTAATAGATGCTTGCTGTTTATAAGCCACCCAGCTTATGGTATTTTTGTTAAAGCAGCTCAAGCCGTCTAAGACACTCCTTGATTCCAGGAGCCTGGGGGATATTCAGGACTCCGAGGCTATGTCTGGAGCGTAACTCTGCAGAAGGCCTTCCACATGCCAAGAGATGACAAGCAGCAGATAGAGCTTCTAAGTGCTCCATGCCACCTCTTCAAGCTCAGTATATGCTCTACTGACCCCACTGGTCCTGCTGGCCCCATAGACAGGGCCACAAATGCACCAGCCTGGCCACCCCACTGTGTGCCCTGTCCACCCCATTTCTCACTTGCTGTCTGCCCACCTCACTCCTACTCCTTGTGTCACCTGAACTTAGGGAGAAGTAGGGTGACCCTATGTCCAGTGTGTCAGGGACAGTCCTGGGTATTCCTGTGATCATGGCATAAATAGTAATAGCACACTCTTTTATTCTTATAGTGTCCCTGTTGAGGCTACACATGCTATTGTCACCCCAGAGAGAAGCTGCAGGGCTCCCAGGGCCCTCGAGGATGGCACTATGAGGATTTTGGAAGAACTGATATTTGAGCCAGATGATCAATTCTGTTCCCATTGGCAAAACCCCTTCTCCTGCCAGGCCTTCTCTCACTCCTGGCTGATTGCCCTCAAAACAAGTTCCATTCCTGCATCTTTGCTCTCCACAGAGACATTGCTAGGTAGCATATCAGTTGTCTGTGCCCTGCTCCATCCCAGAGACCACCCTCCATGAACACCCATCCTACTCACATACTTGGCTCCTACGAATGGGTATCCAGACCTCACCAAGGTGAGAACCACTGGGCCAAAGTGACAGGGAAAGGAAGTACATGCCAAAAGGATCCCCATGCTCATAACTGCAAAGCCACAGAGGATCTGGATGGTCTGTTAGGGAAGAAGGGTCACCTGGTGTGACCTCAGAAAGATATGTTCAAGTCCTAACCCCTGATACCTGGGAATGTGATCTTCTTTGGAAATAGGGTATGTGTAGATGTCATTGGGATGTCAGTTAAGATGAGATCAGAGTGGAGCAGGGAGGGCCTTTAATCCAGTATGACTGGTGTAGGTACAAGACAAGAGAAACAGGCAGATGCTGGCAGAGAGAATGTCACACAAAAACGGAGGCAGAGGTGGGAGGGATGCAGCTGCAACCAAGGAGAGCCAAGGACTGCCAGGATACACCAGAGCTGGGAGAGAAAGCCTGGCCCTGCCCAGACCTGGATTTCAGACTATGGCCTCTGGCCTCCAGAATTGGGAGAGCATGAGTTTCTGTTTTGTTTTGTTTTTTTTTTGTTTTTTTTTTTTAAAGCCATCTGGTTTGTGGTAGTTTGTTACCATGGCCCCAGGAAACCAACTCACTGGGTGAGTCAATCAAGGGCCAGTCATTGTCAGTTTCCCCAGGGAAGCGGAGTGCTGGAACTCTCTGTGCAACCCAAGGAGATAGTGCGGAAGCAGGAAAAGCGTCTCAGGGGCATGGGAAACCAAGCACGCAGGACATGCTCCCAGCCCTTCCCAGTGCTGGCTGAGATCAGCGTGCAGTGAAATGCTGGGTGTTTCTGTCTTTAGCTCTGAGCTGTGGCAGTGGGATCCCAGGTGATGACTGGTCACAGCCCAGGAGGTTCCCATGCCCTTTGCTCCCTCTCCCTCCTGGGCACAAAGAAGCACTTAGGAGACAGCAGGTGGGGCAGGAACTGGCTCCCACTCTCTGCAGGATGAGTGGACACAGGTACCTCTGTTCGGGGCATGGCTCCTTGTGGGAGACAGACCCCAGAGCTGTGACGGGGTCCCAGGCAGCCTCTGAATCAGCCTCAGAATATTTCTACCACAAGAGTTCACATTCTTGCAACATTTACCAAGCAACCTCCTACCTGTTCTAACAGCGGAGTCAGCCCAGAAAGCACTTTTCAACCCAAGGTTAGGTGTGGCCTGGGGATTGAAGGAACAGCTGAGGCTCCCACAAGTAGGGAGGTGCTGGCCCTGGGCCCCAGGCCCTTCCCCCTGGTGCTTGTGTTGCCCAGCTCCTTCTTTCCATTTCCCCCTCCTCCCTTTGGTCATGCAATGGAGTTGTATTTCTTTAAAAATCATGGATCGTATGAGAGATATTGGAAGGCAGACTAAGGGCACATATCTGTTTTCAAATGGTTAATTTCTCAAGAAGGGAGAATAGGA
The DNA here is from genome assembly GCF_000001405.40 of Homo sapiens. NCBI lineage: Eukaryota > Metazoa > Chordata > Mammalia > Primates > Hominidae > Homo > Homo sapiens. The sequence goes on along the minus strand of NT_167245.2, from coordinate 767,547 downwards.
GATGAATTGTCTATAATTTTTAGAAAGAAAAAAAAATCCCTGGGAAGTAAAATCTAGAATAATTTATTCAACAGACTATTTTTTTTCTTTTGCCTCCAAATAAAGTGTATGCAAATATGTTATTATTCCCTTAAAATGAGTTAAGCAGCCAAAGTTTTATATCTCAGGTGAATGCTCCCCATGAGCACAAAACTGGGAAATCTCTTACTTTCTTGCGGAAAATGACTAGGTGGTCCCAGAGGCCTCCCCCGACGCCTCCAGAGCAGCCTGGAACTCCTTAAGCCAAAGGCTCTGTCTCCAAAGTGACAAAGTGTCCTCCTGGCACCCACTCAGCCTCTGCCCTTTGCTTGGCTGTTCTTACCCCAAGCACCTGGGCCTTTTTCTTCAGATTTTTTTCTCACGTTGTCCTGGTTGAGAGGCTCCAGATTCTCTGTGAGGTGCTCAAAGATGCAACTTTGTGGAAACACCACACAGTATCCACTGGGCAGGGCTCTGGACCCGGATAGGGATTGCTGCTGCTGCTGCCAGACAGGCGCGGAGCCAGGTCCGACTCTGGACCGAGACTTAACATTGCAAACTTCCCAAGCTTCAGATTTCCTTGGGTAGTCAACTAGAATCCCCCAGTCATCCCAAGGCGACCAGGGTTCTAGGAAGGAACCTGGGAACAGGGGTGCCTCAAAACCCTGGCGTAGTGAGAATTCTCATGGGTTCTTGGCATTGCACAACACCTGTTGACAGCACAGCCTGCCCTGAGGAGGGTCACAGCAGAGAGAGCAGACCAGCCTGCCTGCAGGTGCCCAGCTTCACCTTCATACTGGTCATGAATTTCCTGCAGTCCCTAACAGGCTTGGGACATGCTCCCTCCAGCCCAATTTCAGGATTGGATGCTTTTCAAATTCTGCTCTCCATCCCTTCTTATGCCAGGTCCATTCCTTTCAGGACATCCAGTTAGCACTGCCCTGCTTCTATAACCCAAATATTACGTGATTCTTTGTAGGAAAACCAATTGTTGGTGTCAGAGCTCTCTGAGCACTGACAATAGGCTAGGCTTCATGCTAAAGCAGTGCTGTTCCTTACACGCAGCAAGGCCCGTAATCAGAGTCCGAGGTACTAGTTCTAAATGAATAAGACATTCTTAGCCCAGAGACGCCTAGCCACAGCATGGCCTCTGTATGAATGTGTAGTAAATGTAAGCAATTACGAGTAATGCCAGGTTTAACTGTCACAGCCGATGTGACAAAGCCCGCTGGCTCTGGGTCTTTTCTCTTTTTACCTCCTCAGCTCCCTTCTTCCCCCTCTTGTAGTGTAAGGCAGCTGCATATGGCAGAAAGAGAATGTGGTCCAGCCCGTCCCCTGGTCTCTGCAGCTGAGCCCAGGCCCCACCTGCCCCAAGGGCTCTGTTCACTGCATCAGCCCCTTCTAGGACAGCACAGTGGGGAAACAGTCTGAAGTTGCCCAGAGAGAGGAGGCTCCTGCTCCTGTGGCCCTTTATCCTGCGTCTGAGCTTGCAGGATGTTCTGGGATCTCTGGGCTGGAGTGGGCAACACCTGCAGCTCAGAAACCATGTCCCAAATTAGGCACGTGAAGGAGTCTGGTGGAAAAAGTATTGGGCCACAGAAACAAGGCTGCTGGGTACCTTTCCCAATCTCACAGACAGCGTCCTTCAGAAGAGACCCCAACACTGACGTTGGCAGATATCTCTGAGGGGGCCTGTGTGACTTTCATCTCCTCCAGGACCTCTGGGCTTCATTGGCCCATGTCAACCTGTTCTGCCCTGATTGGCAGGGAACACCCCACATCTCTGGCTCAGGCAGTTATGATGACAAAATTTATAGGGCCCTTCCTGCAGCAGTTCTTTAATTTTTAGAACAAGGCCAGTGGCATTGTGATTGAGTTCAACTGCTGGGGAATCAATTGCATTGAATTTGTGTTGGGTGGTATTGTGTGCACTGAAGACACAGTGCACACATTAAGATCTCAGAACCTCAGAGCTGCAAGGGAGCCCCATTTAGCAGATGAGAAGTTTCTCCTCCTAGGGCTTCAGGAGCTGTAAACATCCACCCCTAGATGCCACCGTGGGGTCGGAGCCCCACAATCTGCCCATCTGTATGCTCCCCTAGAGGTTTGAGCAGTGGGGCACTGAAGAAGCAAGCCACACCCCCATCACGTGCCCCGCGAGGGGAACAAGGGAACTTTTCTCATTTCAAAAGTATAAAACTCACTGTAAAAATAAGAATATAGTACAATTCAGACTTCTCTCATACTCTGATGGCATAAGTCACTTTTAATTCTAGTATAAAATTAAAAGATAAAATAAAACAATTATAGCCATAATAATTTGTTGGTGGATACAGAGTATGAAAAGATGTAAATTGTGACATGAATAACATAAAAATGTGTAGAGAGAAGAAGTTAAAGTGTAGGGTTTTTGTATGCAGTTGAAGTTAAGTTATTAGCAGCTTCACATAGACTAAAAACTGTAAGATATTTTATGTAAGTCTTATGGCAACAACAAACAAAAACCTGTAGTAGGTACACACAAGACAAAAAGAGTAAAATCAAAGCATATTACCACACAAAAAAATCATTAAATTACAAAGGAATACAGCAAGAGGAAGAAAGAACAAAATATCTACAAAATAGTCAGAAACCCCTGAACAAATGGCAGTAATAGGTCCTCATCTGTCAATAATCACTTTAAATATAAATGAATTCAATTCTCCATCAAAAGACATAGAGTGGCTGAATGAATAGAAAAAGAAAACCAAGATCCAACTATGTGTTGCATCTGAGGGATTCAATATATCTTTAAGGACACACATAGGCTAAAAGTGAAGGGATGGAAGAAGATGTTCCATGCAGATGGTAGCTAGTAGAGAAGAGGGGTGGCTATACACACATCAGATAAAATAGACTTTCAGTTAAAAACTGCCACAAGATTCAAAGAAGATAATTTTGTAATGATCGAAGGAGTCAATTTATCAAGAAAATATAACAATTTTAAGTGTATGTGCACCCAAGTTCAGAGCACCTAAATATGTAACGAAAATATGAACACAATGAAGGGAGAAACAGACAGCAACACAACATTAGCAGGAAACTTTTATACCCCACTTTCAACAACGGATAGATTGTCCAGACACAAAATCAAAAAGGAAACTTTGGATTTGAACAACACGATAGACCAAGAGGTCCTAAGAGACATTTATGGGACATTACATTCAACAGCAGCAGAATGACCATTCTTCTCAAGCATACACAGAACATTCTCTAAGATAGATCATATATTAAGCCACAAAACAAATCTTAACAAATTTAAGAAGATTAAAATCATATCAAGTCTGTTTTCTGACCACCATGGTAATAAATTAAAAGTTAGTAACAGGAAGAAAATTGGAAAATTTACAAATTTTTGAAAATTAAATAATATCATGTTGAACAATCAGTATGTCAAAGAAGAAACCAAAAGGCAAATTTAAAAACTATCTTGAGACAAACACAAATGGAAATACAACATCCCTAAACTTATGGGATGCAGCAAAATAGTTCTAAGAGAGAAGTTTACAGTGATAAACACCCACATTAAAAATATTATAATATAATTTTGCATGATGTTACCACTGGAAAACTGGGTATGGGATCTGTTTGCATTATTTCTTGCATCTACATGTGAATCTACAATTATCTAAAAATTAAAAGTTGAATTTAAAAAGCCACAAGAATGATAATGTACAGAAGAGCAAGAGGAACAGAGAGATGTAAAACATTTCATTTAATCAAATATTAAAAAAAAAAAGAAGTTGCTGACCCAGTAATTTCACTCCTTTTCGTTGGATATATGCTCCAAAGGAATGCCTGCATTCATTCTAAGACATGCTACAAAACATTAAAATACAATGGTCAAAATATGAAAAGACAAGGGATTTCATACAATATAATCCACCCAAAACAAAATCCAAATTATTTTTTAGAAGTTATTAAAATAGAAACCACATGTTTTTGAATATGTGATTAAAGCATACTTAATACAAAGAGAAAGCTTTGCTAACTGGAAATTAACTATTTGTTTTTGTCTTAAACAACTTTTGGTACTGGAGGATTTTAAAATGAAAATTATTTAGAAAATAGAAATGTTGAGATAATTGCCAGTGGTTATATGTTAATATCAGGAGGGACTTGCAGACACTGGAACAGGACCTCAGTGGGGACATGCAGAGCCATGGGGGCTGGCAGTGCTGGCTGCTGCATGTCACAGGAATAAACACAGAAAGCACATTATTGTTAAAGAAGAGAGCATGAGCAGACACTGAAAATGCTTTAATAAAGATACCAGAGAACAAGATAGTGTTAGTCCATTATGTCCATTACCACACTGCTATAAAGAACTACCTGAAACTGGCTAATTTATGAAGAAAAGAGGTTTAACTGACTTATAGTTCCACAGGTTTAACAGGAAGAATAACTGGGAGGCCTCAGGAAACTTACATTTATGGCAGAACACCAAGGGGAAGCAAGCACCTTCTTCACATGGTGGCAGGAGAAAGAGAGAGAGTGAAGGGGGAAGGTCACACAATTTTCAACCATCAGATCTCATGAGAACTCACTCACTGTCATGAGAACAGCAAGGAGGAAATCTGCCTCCATGATCCAGTTACCTCCCACCAGGCTTCTCCAATTCGATATGAGATTTGGGCGGGGACACAAATCCAAACCATATCATGTGTCTATAAGAAACACAGAGATTTACACTATTGGTATGTAAATGGTGCTACTGAGACCAGATTGGGTACAATGACAAACACTTCCTGTGGATGGTGACGTCTTTTCCAGACTAGGAAGACTGGAAAAGAGAAATCTCCATGTGGACGGCCAGGTGTCAGAAAATGCTTCAATCAATGGATTTAGTTAAACAGCATAAAACAGCTTGCCATGTAGTTATTTTGAAATAAATTACTCAGTCAGGCAGCAAATTCAGGGAAAGTCAGCCAAATAAATATACAAATGTAGACAGAGAAGTCTTCCCAAGAAAAGAAGAGAAAGCAAAGAGAAATGGCATCACCAATGAAAGCACACACAGAGATGTAACTTCAGAAATGGTGTCCAGGGAAAATGTCCTTTCCCATCTTCACATCATCCTCTGGACATTGACCAGCAAGCAGATATTTTCTGACGCAGAAGAAGAAAGGAAGCTCTTCTGATCTGTACAGTGGGCAGATCACATCTCCGTGGGGTGTTCTACAAATGTTTTATTGATCTTTGGTGATGTATTTTTTTTGTCATCCAGTAATTTTTTTCATGCCCCTTGTCAAGATAATTCTCCATCCTTATCTGGTGTGCTTCCCTCCTGGCAGGGTCTAATCTTTGTTGCCTGCTCTGGAGGTAGCAGGAGCCTCAACGGTTCAGAGAAGTCCTATCTCCTTCCTGTAGGCAGCAGAAATTCATTTCTCATGAACATCAAAGTCTTCTTAGTGAGATGGGTGCCTGGTGGGTGAAGTTAAACATGTCCAGGATGGGCCATGGCTACGCCACAGGACCTGAAGGGTTTTATCACAATAGGTGAGGACTGCCCTCAGAGTGTGGCATCAGAGTCAAACTCTGGTATTGTAGCTGCAAACCAGCACTGATCCTTGGGGGCAATCCCTAGGCATCCTGGAAACTCTGGCTACTGATTGAGTTCATGAATGAGATGAATACCTAGAATTTAAGCATACACCTGAATGTGAACCTTGCTTATGCTGAATTTCCTTTTTCAAATTTAAATGTTGAGCTGACACTGATAAAATTAGGCTTCTCCAAACAGCAAGCCAAACTTTGCTTATTTGCTGACAAGCCAGCAGGCCCTTCTATTTCAGAAGAAGTGATGTAGAACCAAGTTCTTAGCAAGCAATGAACTCAGGTGTCTGCCAGGGAATGGCATGCTCATTCACAGATGCATCAGTCCTCATCCCTGTAGGTTGGAAACCCCAGCAATGAAGAATCAATAGAAAGGTCTTCATCATGACTCATCACTCCAAGCTGTCTGTTCTAGAGCAGGGAAATTTCCAGCATGGATCTTTAGCTCCATTTGGGAAGATGGACCAAACCCTGCCCATCTTGGAGAAGAGGTGGCCTGACACTCAAGGTCCCACACACAAGGCTCTTTCCCTCTGTGTGACCATCAGAATCTTCAAGGGATACCTGACCATTTCATTTCTTTCTTTTCTTCCTTCTCTTGACAAGTTAATTGCAGAAGCTGTTGGAATCGCTTCAATAGAACAGATGGCCTGCGCTGGAGAACGTGTGGTGTTACATTAAGGGAGGGGTCTTGTGCTTAAGGGAAAAAAATGAGACCTGAACTAAAACTTCCACAGAGGACAAAGGACGAATTCCTGGAATCAAGTAAAGCAGTGCAGCAGCAGTGACAAAACCTCCAGAGTTCATCAGAAACAGAGAAACTGATTTCAGGGGTCACAAAAGAGTCTGGTGTCTGCATACCAGAGAGAACAAATGTAGGTCTTTTTTTTTTCATTCAAAAGATACAGATTACACTTTAAGAGACAGATAATTCCACTAAGTAAAACTCCTCTGAGAAGCACACTTCGTATGTCCAGGAGAAAGGCCATGAAAGGGCACTGTGGAAACTGGGAGGCAGATACAGGTGAGGAGCTTGCAGAGCACCTTGAAGTCCAGGAGCCTCTTGTACTTCAGAGCTGATGGGTGAGAAAAGCCGGTCAGTGTGGGAGGAACAGAGTGGGGCATAACACCCTTCAGCATGCATCAACATGACTGTGGGATTGTGGGGAAAAGGCTAGGAGGGGTGACAAGAGACAACAGAAAATGTTATTCTACACTTAAGCAAGACATTTTCTCTCAGGGTAACAATACGTCATTGGTGTTGATTTTCAGTGCCTGTCCTAACTAGGATCAGGTGGCAAAACAGGACACAAGATATTGAGAGTCCAGGGGACTCCATGCCCAGAGACTGCATATTCACATGGTAAGTGACCAAGAAACTGTTACATGAAGATGGTGGGTACAAACCATCTTTGAACAGAGAAAATGAAATAACTGTTTACAGAACATCAGCCCTCGGGACAACTCAGTTGGAAAATCAATAATCTAGAAATGTGCATTCTTAAAGTGAATGTGGCAGGTGAGATCAGAGCAAGGGAAAAGTACTGAGAAGGTAAAATGACAGTGAGCTCATGGCAACCCCGAATCTGAGTCCTAAGACATCAGTCAGTGCACAGGGTTGACCCGATGTGTGTCAGAAAGACAGGCAGAATCTCTCAGACCTGCTGTGGTCCCTGAGAGTTGAGAATGCAGGTGAAATGTGGACACAGAAGTCCCAATACATACCCATGCCTGTAATAGGAGGACACTCTTTTCAAACTGTGAGGGCTAGGGCCAAGCTTTTCTTACTGAGGTGAAGAAAGGGCCACATTACTGGCTTCTCTCTGCACAAATTGTATTGGAACACCCCTCAAGGGGTGCTTTCTTTGGGAGTGAAGCATGGTGAAAGCTTTTGCCTGAGGGGTTCTCTGAATTTGATCTTGATCTTGTGTTTATCAAGAGCAATGCCATGAAGTTCAGCTCACTAGAAACTGACTCAACATATCCAACTTGGAACTGGGTCTACTCCTTGCAAGGCCCTATTCCCTGTCCCTAGGATGAGGGAGTCAGGGGCTGCCAGGGCTATGCGGAGCTCTGACCAGAGTAAGAGAAAGGAGCCCTATGGAGACAGGAAGGACCTGCCTGGGCACATAAAGCCACAGTGGAGCAGCTGACCATGTGATAAACCTCGGGATGCTCAGCTATCTGTCCCCACAGATAGAAGCCACTCATTGGCCAGAAGAAAAACAAGGAGCACATGGGAATCTTGATCAAAGTTGCTCAAGGTCCAGTAACTTCTGGAAGCCCAAGAGAGAGCTCATATTCAGAGGACAGGAAGACAATTCCAGACCATTGGTCCACAGAGGTGTCACCTGTCCTTCTGTGTCTGTGTCAGCCTCACTGCCCCCTGACTTACCCCTGCCCCCAGGAAAAATGTCACAGGTAAGATGAGAACTGTGTTCTCTCTTCATCTGACTCTCTTTCTCATCTCTCTAATTCGGAGGAGTTTTTGCAAGGATTTTAGATGTGTTTTCCCCAAGGGAAAGAACATTATCAGGACAGTGCAACCCTTCATTTGAGGACTGGGGACTGGAATCCATCCTTGCTTATTCTTTTTTTGTGTGCGAATTTTGCTTCATTTTGGTAAGAATTCTTGACACGAGATCTATTATCCTAATAATTTTAAGTGCACAGTAGTGATCTTTAAAATGCAAATCCTTGGCTGGGCATGGCAACTCATCCCTGTAATCCCAGCAATTTGTGGGGTCGGGGTGGAGGGGATCTCTTGAGCTCAGGAATTTGAGACCAGCACAGGGCAACAAAGGGAGACTCCCATCTCTACAAAAAGAAAAAAATTAGAAAATTAAAAAAGAAACCTAGCCAGATGTGGCAGCACACGCCTGTGGTCCCAGCCACTCAGGAGGCTGAGGTGGAGGCATCGATTGGGCTGGAGAGGTGGAAGCTGCAGTCAGCAGTGATTGCATCACTGCACTCCAGCCTGGGGGTGAGAGAGTGAGACCTTGTCTCTAAAGAAATAAATAAATCCAGATAATATTATTATCTGAGCTTAAAACTTTCCAACACCTGGACATTGCACTTAAAATTCAAACTTCTTATCTTGGCCTATATGATTCCACACCTGCCTACCTCTCTAAAAGCTTATTTCTCTCACTCTCTCTTTCCCTCCCTAAACTTCAGCCACACTGGCCTTCTTTCTTTTCTTCAACCATACGACTGTTCTTCCTATGCGCCTTTGTACTTCCTGTTCCCACTACCTGCAGCACTATTCCTCTAGATATTCCCAGGATTGGCTTCCTGAAAAAGCCAGAAAATATTGTCAGCTCAGAAAGGACCAACCTAAGTGGCTCACTGTCTTTCCCGTTTTCCTTAAGATAGTCCATCCCACTGCCACTTTTTTTTTTCCTTCAGAGTAGTAAGCACCGTCTGAAATGATCCAATTTACTGCATTTGCTTATTGACATTCATCTGTCCCAACAGGACAGTATTTATTCATTCATCTCTCACTATATGCTCATCACTGTTCCATGCACTTACATGCTATCCACCCATTTAATTTTCAAACCCACAAGTAGGTATTATCAGTATTCTAATTTTGCAGAGGAAATACCAGAGGCTCAAAAAGATGAAGCAGCTTCAGTTGCAAAAACATTCCAGTACACTGTTGTTAACTATAGGCAACTACTACTTTTGTGCAGTAGAGCTCTAGTGCTTATCTATTTTGTTAAACTGAAACTTTATGCCCACTGACTACTAGCTCCCTACTTCCTGTCCTACAGCCCAGGGAACAACCATCCCACTCTTTGTTTCTATGAATTTGACTATTTTAGATACCCTATTTAAGTGCATGCAGGATTTATTCTTCTATGACTGGCTAATCTCACTTACCATAATGATCTGCAGGTTCAACTATGTTGTCATATATGACAGAATTTCTTCCATTTTTTTTTTGAGATGGAGTCTCCCTCCCCTGCCCAGGCTGGAGTGCAGTGGTGTAATCTCGGCTCACTACAACCTCCGCTTCCCAGGTTCATGCAATTCTCTGCTTCAGCCTCCCAAGTAGCTGGGATTACAGGCACCTGCCACCATGCCCAGCTAATTTTTGTATTTTTAGTAGAGACGGGGTTTCACCATGTTGGTCAAGTTGCTCTTGAACTCCTGACCTCGTGATCCATTCACCTTGGCCTCCCAAAGTGCTGGGATTATAGGCGTGAGCCACCACACCTGGCCAAATTTCTTCCTTTTTAAAGGCTGAATACTATTCTATCTTATGTTTATATCACATTTTCTTTATCCATTCATTTTTTGATGGATTTTTAGGTTGTTTCCACATTTTGGCTATTGTGAATAGTATTGCAGCAAACATAAGAGTGCTAATATTTCTTTGAAAACCTGATTTCAATTCTTTTGGACAAATACTCAGAAGTGGGATTTCTGGACCATACGGTGCAGTTCTACTGTTAATTTTTTGAGGAATTTCCATACTGCTTTTCACAGCAGCTGCGCCATTTTGCATTTTCACCAACAGTGTGTGAGGGATCCCTTTCTCCACATCCTCATTAGCACTTGTTATCTTTTGTTTTTCCAGAATGGCCATCCTAACAGGCGTAAGGTGCTATCTAGTTGTGGTTTTGATTTGCATTTCTTTGATGAGTCATCTTGGCCTGTCCTTGACTGGAGACACATTTTGGAAGCTGTTGGCACTCTCTGTTAATGGACATTTGGGTTATTCCCTCCCGTTCTCCCCTGAACTGGCTCTTCCCAGGTTAGTAGGAGGAAGAGTGTGTACTTGGTGCTGCAGGACTAAGATTAAGCCCTAGTGAAATCTGTAACATCTTTTTGGGCATTCCCATGGATCAGCTATAGCAACTCATTTAAGGATTTTTTTCTTGTTACAGATACATCCTGCTTTAGTGAGCTCAGCTTCTCTGCCAACTTCATCTGTGAAGCTGTCTTAAAGTATGAGAAGTCATTATCAGTGTTCAGGATCTCAGGAAAGGATGGTCTGATCTCTTTGGGCCCAGAGCGTTTCACCTCTCAAGCATCCTAAGTTCTTCAGTGTTCTGGACTCCATAGTGGGGCATCAAGGGTCATCAGGGCTGATTCTCAGAGGCCTAGCCAGCTCAGCCGAAATGTCCAAGGCTCAGGCAGTGGGCCCTGGACAGGGGATGTTGGCATCCTCCAATGAAATGATTCCATCCATCTTCCTGAGACAGGAAGGTGGACAGGAATCTCTCTAAGGAAGACACATGAGATCTCCTCTAGTCTGTGGTCAGCCTTGAGGTACCACACCTGCCCAAGGTGAGCAGGTTTTTGGCTAAGGGTGAATGGTTCATATCAGTTCTCCCCTACCCTGGATGCATTGTCTGAGGTGTTTTGCATGCTAGGCTCTTGGCCTCTGTCTCAGAGTCTTGAAAAGAGACAGAGCAGAGCTCTCCTGCTCACAGTCTGTATCTGCACTCATCCAGGATCTTCCACTTAAACGAGCTCTCAACATCATGGACAAACTTCCAGCATGTGAGTAGATTCACATCTGAGGCTACATCTTTGGTGTTTGCAAAATAGTGATAAGGATTCCATGGTTGAAAGAGGAAGCTGTGGTCAGGCCCCACCACTCCAGGGACAGTAGCTCAGTGCTGCTCTGAAGGGGCCTGGCTGCCCCTTTCTGTCCACTGATGGCTGAGATAAGAATATTCTCCAATCTTGAAAATGGCTTATAAGTCTTTAACTCTCTAGAGTTGCAGGGACCTTCTTGGGGTTTATTAACGCAATAATAGAAAAATAGTTATTGCACTCAAGTTGCTTAAGAGGCCCTCTCTGGACAGGAGCATCAAAGATTAACAAAGCAGATGAAGCCACTTGCCCCAGGGTGGTGAACTTGCTGAGCCTGCCTGTGGCTCTTTCCTTCTGGCTGTCACCTGGTTGCTCCAGTAGGTCATTCAGATCTCCATGTCCTACTAAGAAACTCCCCTCATTTATCCCACTAGGAAACATCCATTACCCTTATCATTTTCTATCCACTCAGCCCAATTTATTTTTCTCCTTGCAGTTATCACAATGTAAACCCAAAGAAGGTACAGACAGTTCTACCTTAGCACTGTCTTATCCTCATGCCAAAGATAAGTTTGTGGCAAGTGACATTTGCCTACTGAAGAGGCAATTTCCTGAGGAGACTGTTGAGTAGAGATGATGAAACGGTCTTTGGAGGAGCTTCAAAAAGGGAGGTCTAGAAGAAGAGCCCAGTGTGTTTCACAGATCCCAGAGCGGGAGGCAGAGGTCAGAGAAGCCTTGCGAAGTCTGCTCCACAATTCCAGATTCTATAAAAATAACAATTATTATTAGTTTTTTGAATATTAATAATAATTATTCATTAGAAACAAGATATAATAGTACTACTTGTTAATCATAATATAATCATAAATAATTAATAATCACATACAACTATTAATCACATTATATTATTAATATATTGTTATTAATATGCCACTAATAGCATATTCATATCATATAAATAATATTAATATAGTATACCAAATATATTAATATATACTGTTAATATGCTAATATATTCACATGTAATCAATAATACATTAATATCTTAATATTGAAAGCATATCAACATTAAAATGTACTGATAAACTATTTTACTAATATTGTATAAATATTATTAATGATACATTATTAATAAACTGAATAATGTTAATATCAATTAATATTAATGACCAAAGACCCACCAACATGGGTCGTGTTGGCATCAAGACTGTGACGAAGGTGGCCTAGGTCATCGTAGAAAAGTACTACATGTGCCTGGGCAATGACTTCCACACAAACAAGTGTGTGTGAGGAGATCCCCATTATCCTCAGCAAGAAGCTCCACAACAGGAGAGCAGGCTGCGTCACGCATCTGACGAACCAGATTCAGAGAGGTCCAGTGAGAGGTATCTCCATCAAGCTACAGGAGGAGGAGAAAGAAAGGAGGGACAATTATGTCCCCAAGGTCTCAGCCCTGGATCAGGAGATCATCGAAGTAGATCCTGACACTAAGGAAATGCTGAAGCTTTTGGACTTTGGCAGCCTGTCCAACCTGCAGGTCACTCGGCCTACAGTTGGGATGAATTTCAAAATGCCTCGTGGAGCTGTTTGACTCTTTCTCCAATGCTGTAATATACAGCAGTCACTGGATTTTATTTTCAATAAACCTGGGACAACAGCAATAAATAAATACATAAATATTAATAAACTAATGTCAATATTAATTATCAATATCCTTGATAGCATAATTGAGAATATGTTATATTAATATAATTAATATATTAACATAAATATATAATGTGAATATATTAACATCAATATTAATAACATGTTAATATAGCAATGTTATATTAATATAATTTATTAATATATAAATATTTACATAGTATTAATATGCTAGTCTCTCTATATTAATATATTTACATAGCATTAAAATACTATTCTCTATATTAATATTTATATTAATATTCTTAGGCCTCTTTTGTATTTGTTGCACCCTAAGTCTGTTCATTTCCTTCTCCTCAGCTGACATTTGGAGCATAGCAGTCGATGATGCCCACACAGACACTGCCTGAGACTCACGCCCCTGGAGAAACGCAGATTTCCTTATTTTCCAGGTCAAGTCCTGCCAGCCATAGAAAGGACTTCTTTGGTGCCAACTGCTGTGAAATGCCTGCCTTGGAAATCTCAGTGCTCCCTTGTACCTGTCTGAGCCCAGGGAAATGCCATACTGTGGCACTGCTGCATCCTGTATGGCTACCCAAGGATGCCCAGGACTGGGTTTGAAAGAGATGAGACATGGCCAGGTGCCGTGGCTCACGCTTGTAATCCCAGCACTTTGGGAGGTCAAGGCAGGTGGATCACAAGGTCAGGAGTTTGAGACCAGCCTGGCCAATATGGTGAAACCCCATCTCTACTAAAAATACAAAAAAATTAGCCGGGCATGGTGGTGGGTGCCTGTAGTTCCAGCTAGTCAGGAGGCCGAGGCAGGAGAATCGCTTGAACCTGGAAGGTGGAGGTTCCAGTGAGCTGAGATCGCGCCACTGCACTCCAGCCTGGGTGACAGAGTGAGACTCCAACTCAAAAAAAAAAAAAAAAAAGAGATGAGACACTAGTGTCTCATGAGTAGAACCTGGACCAGACACAAATCTCCATTCCCAATGTTTAGTGCCTCATTAGTGCCCAACAACAAGATATTGGGTCTATGTGGGTAGGCCTGGGGCATCCTGTACAACAGGAGATGTGTTAGGGGAGGGAGAACAGATCACAAATTCATGGAGAGCTATTTGCAGAGCAGATACTCCCATCCACTCTGATATGTAGTTAATGTTCAGCTGTTCCTAAAAAGCACACCCAACAATGGGTGTTCTATTCCAGCCTAGGAAAATGTAGAGGCAAGGGGTCTGAGGCCAGAGGACACCACTAGATGGACCACTGCTCCTGACTGTGATGTTGTGGCCCACTCAGGTCCCAGCACCCCATGGTCTGGGGGAAAATTTGCTGGTTCAGCCAGAGGGCTGGATGGACAGTGTTTGCTGAGTCACAGATATCTCTCTCATGTAGCCTTTGTCTCCACAGTGGTGACCAGGAGGCACAGAACCCAAACCTGGTATCTCAGCTCTGTGGCGTCTTTCTTCAAAATGAGACGAATGAAACCATACATATGCAGATGAGCATGGCAGTGGGACAGCAGGCCCTGCCCTTGAATATCATTGCCCCCAAGGCTGTGCTGGTCTCCCTCTGTGGGGTCTTATTGAATGGCACTGTCTTCTGGCTGCTTTGCTGTGGGGCCACGAATCCCTACATGGTATACATCCTCCACCTGGTCGCTGCTGACGTGATCTATCTTTGCTGCTCGGCAGTGGGGTTCTTACAGGTGACTCTGCTAACTTATCATGGAGTCGTGTTTTTTATCCCTGATTTCCTGGCCATATTGTCTCCCTTCTCCTTTGAGGTGTGTCTCTGTCTCCTGGTGGCCATCAGCACAGAGCGGTGTGTGTGTGTCCTCTTCCCCATCTGGTACAGATGCCACCGCCCAAAATACACATCTAATGTTGTCTGCACCCTCATCTGGGGCCTGCCTTTTTGCATCAACATAGTAAAATCACTTTTCCTAACTTACTGGAAACATGTAAAGGCATGTGTCATATTTCTAAAGCTTTCTGGGCTCTTCCATGCTATCCTTTCACTTGTGATGTGTGTGTCGAGTCTGACTCTACTCATTAGATTCCTGTGCTGCTCCCAGCAGCAAAAGGCCACCAGGGTCTATGCGGTGGTGCAGATCTCGGCCCCCATGTTCCTACTCTGGGCCCTACCCCTGAGCGTGGCACCCCTCATAACAGATTTCAAAATGTTTGTCACCACCTCCTATTTAATTTCCTTGTTCCTCATTATAAACAGCAGCGCCAACCCTATCATTTATTTCTTTGTGGGGAGCCTCAGAAAGAAAAGGCTGAAGGAATCTCTCAGAGTGATTCTCCAACGGGCGTTAGCAGATAAGCCAGAGGTGGGGAGGAACAAAAAGGCAGCTGGCATCGACCCAATGGAGCAACCACACTCTACTCAGCATGTGGAGAACCTTCTTCCCAGGGAGCACAGGGTCGATGTGGAAACATAATTTCCCACATCTGAGCTGGGGAATTGTACACATAGTAACCCAGCCTGTTCTGCATCATAAGGCTGCTGCATCAAATCAATGCTTTATTCTAATCAAGTTCAGCTTTCATGGACTTTCAAAACAACCCCTTGCTGTTTGTGGTTGGAAGAGACATTAACTTCCTTCCTAGGCAGTAAGCCCAGTTTGAATGTGCTCCAGTTCCAACGATGAGGGGAATGGGACCCAGTGAGACTTTCCTGGTACCTGTGGAATCCCAAATAAAGACCATACAAAAGGCCATGCATTATTCTCAATCATTATCCTGGAACATCCTCCAAATCCAGCCACAGATTTTCCTCCCTTTGTCTATCTCCTCCTTAGATAGAGCTTGAGCTTGTCGGAATTACCAAGAGGCATCATCACATAAGAGTAAGAGTCAGGGTTTTGGACCCAGATTGCCTTTGTCCAAACTTTGGCTCTCCCATTCAAAGCATGTTATTGTGGGCAAATAACTCTCTGTAACTCTGTTTCATCTTATGCAAGAGGAGGATAAAGTTGGTATTTAATATGCATGGTTGGTGTGAGGATTAATTAACCTTATGAATATACAGGACTCCTTGGATTTTATTTACAACATGTGTAACAATTATTTAGTAAGGATGATGAATATGTTGCAGTGTGTTGAATAAATGTACAAAAACATTACGTTGGATAATATAATCCCTCCTCACTAGGTTAGAATTTACACCCAAACCTTTTACTTTGAAGAAAGCAAATTTACCTCATCCTCTCTCCAACTTAATACCATTTAATTCTTCATCTTGCTTACATTGCTTACAAAACTCTCATATTGGGTTTCTTTTGTTAAATGGAACACATCCTTTTTGCAAATTTTCTTTCCTCTGTGAGGAATTATGTCACTCACAATTTTCCTTGTTTTTGCCTTTTCCATGTTTTATCTCTAGTTAAAAAGGTCAACTTTAAGAGCATTTCTATGATCACATTCTCTGGCTGGTCTTATTGATCTTTTATTTCTTACAACATTATTGTAATTTGTAATGGTTCCACCATTTTGGTCTTATTTTAAGCTTCCCCTAGAAGACGAGAAGTTTTGTGAGGTTGAAGTCATTACTTCATGATTCAGTTTAATGTCCCAGTGCTTTGTACATAATAAGTTGTTTTAATAATACCTCTTTGTAATTTGAATAAAAATTGCATTCCCTTTAAGTACATACCCTTTATTTAAGCCTTATTAATTTTATATCTGTGATTTTAGACAATCCTTCAAGGACTAGAATTGCCATTCTATAATATTGCTTTATATATATATATGCTTTAAATTCTAGTTATTGTATATATTATTTTATTGTGGTCAAATAATATAACCAACAAAATGTTATTATTAATATTATTATTTGTATTTCTTTCAGATTTACTCTGTGGCTGAAGACATGGTCAGTTTTGTCCACCATGGTGTTTAAAATAATGTATAGTCTCCTTTTAAGGTGTAATTTGTCAAATAACTTTTTTTAATGATTTCTATATGTGCTTATTCAATTATGTGTACATGTTACTCAAAACAAAGAAGATTCATTCAAGTCTGATATTAAAATATATGGTTACCTCTTAATTCCCATACTGCATCATTGTGTAGCTCATGTCTCATGATGCTGACATTTCAGGAGCATGTTAAGGAGGTGTCAGAGTGAAGGAAGGGGCATGAGACTTCTCGTGGACAGGTCTTTGTCTCTCCACTTCTGTTAGCTCTCCATCTATAAGCAGATTAGTCCTTTTTCAGTTGTCTGAGCTGCAGATACAATTTCCAACATTTTCATTGGTCACTTACTTCGGTTATGATTTTAAAAACATGTTATTGTCAAGCACACCGTTTTTATAAATTTGAATTTGTCAGTCTTTTATGGCTTATGTATTGAGTTATGATTAAAGAAGTCTTACCTACATGAGATAATATAAAATGAATCTATGCTGTCTTATACTATTAAATTATTTCATTTGTAAACATGTAAATATTTGATCAATTTGATTTTTTTTTACTGGAGGATAGTGTGAAGTATAAGCCCACTTTAATCTTTTTTGTTAAACGGTTAAATTATTCAACTTTGTTAGTCATCAGGAGCACTGCATAATGAGATATGATTTTCTACCCCTGTTATTAATAAGCTTTAATGGCTGGACACACAGAAGAATATGGAGGATTTAATGTCTTCTGCAACCAAAGTGGTGAGTTTAAGTTATTGCTTTTGTTGGGGAAAAATTGAGTACTGTACCTTAAAATTATAAACACACATACACTTATAATCAACGTTTAAAGTTTTATTGCTCCATTTTACAGAGACAAAATAGTGTTACCAAGTGATATCCGTGACAGGGTGTTTATTGCAACAATACTGGTTTTACCTGCTCCCAAGGCAGAAAATCCCACTGTCCCTACTGCAGAGATGCATCTGGGAGGGATTGGGTGACTGGGCACTTTCACACCTGTAGCTGTTATGTACTTCTCCAAGGCAAAGCCATGAAGTAGGACTTAGCAGGAACTGGTGCCCATAGCTAGGAACAGGAATCTTCTCACACGCACACACACACACACAAATTACATTGATAAATATTTTCATGAGATTGTTTCCAGGGAATTTGTAAGACAAAAGTTTTTAATGAAATTACTACTCCCCACCTCTTAAAATAAAAGGAAAAAATAAAACAAATAAAATCAAACTAATAAGTGAAAATAACATGGCCAATAACATCATATGTTCAGACCCAAAGGTCCAAACCTGAACCCTGACCTTTTGCCAAAAGAAATGGGATTGTGAAATATGAACAAACATTAGAAAGGTGTTTCACCTCAAACACCCAGGTGTGGCCACGGAATAAACCAAATAAGGAAAATCTCCCAGAGGGAAGTTCCAGTGTCTATGGACAATTCACTAAATAGATTAGGTGAATCCTTCCAATGAGAAGAACAGAGAACTGTGAGCTTGAGAGTGATGGAACTTACTTTCCTGACAACAAGTGTGATTCTGTCTGTTCTTTTACCCAAGAATGTCTAGCTGGAAAGGACACTCACTGAATGAATGGAATTAAATGCCTGTCACGTGGGTGCCAGAATGGAGCTAGAGGCAGTAACAAGATGATACTAGGTACATACAGTTCTTGACAAAATAATGAATGCATTTCAAATAGATGCAAATATTTTAATTTTAACTTGGACAAGGGAGGGAGGTGTATATAATTTGGGGGTAGGTGAAAAAGGCCTAAGTGTTGGTTATGGTGAGGGCATTCCAATGAGATATCGCAGGACATTCTATGTGGTATGACTCTAAGAAGAGTTTTCACAGATATAAAAAGAGATGGAAGGAAAGGAAGTTCTTTTTTCTCGCATTTTTTATATCATATTCTGAGTATGAAGTCATATCCTAAGCATTCGGAAAACATGCCCAGTGAGGAATGAGGACAATATTCTGAAGATGCCAGAAGTAAAAGTGGATAATTCTAATTTTTTCAAGACATTGTGCCACTGACTTGAACATCTTGCAGCAGCCCTATCTACAGGTGTCTTGTGCTTCAATATTATACATCACTGACTGCTAAAATTAGTTTAATTGAGCTTCTCTATTTGGCAGCCAAAAACATTTCTAACTGGAAATATTTTCTTATCCTTGAATGAAAAGGCAAAGACAGCCTTCTATGGGAATGCTACACAGCAAACTGGAATCCTAGTACTAGATAAGCTTGCCTCATACATTGATGCCCATTGTTGTTAAACCAGGGCCTAGATTTATGTTTATAAAATTATCTGAGTGTGGCTTTTACTGTGATAGAAGCAAATAGTGCTGGTTCTCAAAGGTAGAAAAGCATAAGAGATACACTATATGGGGGAGGCCAATCTTATTAGGGGTGTCCTGTGGACAAGAGTCCCTGGATAGAATCCCAATTGTGTTTCAGATACATGACTATAGGCAGGACTTGAGCCTGATAATCACCAGTATTAGGTATCATGAGAGAGTGGGAACAGAGGATGCTCTTGAAACCAAGAATTTGAGACAGTGAGTCGAGATCATTTCACTCCATGCCAGTCTGGGCAACAAAGTGAGATTCTGTTTCTTAAAAAAAAACATACAAGGGATGTGAAGGACCTCTTCAAGGAGAACAACAAACTGCTTCTCAAGGAAACAAAAGAGGACACAAACAAATGGGAAAACATTCCATGCTTGTGGATAGGAAGAATCAATATCGTGAAAAAAGCCATACTGCCCAAAGTAATTGATAGATTTAATGCTATCCCCATCAAGCTACCATTGACTCTCTTCACAGAATTAGCAAAAACTACTTTAAATTTCATATGGAGCCAAGAAAGAGCCTGTGTAGCCAAGACAATTCTAAGCAAAAGGAACAAAGCTGGAGGCATCACGATACCTGACTTCAAAATATACTACAAGGCTACAGTAACCAAAACAGCATGGTACTGGTACCAAAACAGATATATAGACCAATGAAACAGAACAGAGACCTCAGAAATAGCACCACACATCTACAAGCATCTGATCTTTGAAAAACCTGACAGAAAAAAGCAATGGGGAAAGGATTCCCTATTTAATAAATAGTGTTGGCGAAAATGGTTAGCCATATGCAGAAAACAGAAACTGGACCCCTTTTATACAGCTTATACAAAAATTAACTCAAGATGGATTAAAGATTTAAACATGAGACCTAAAACCATAAAAACCCTAGAACTAGGCAATATCATTCAGAACATAGGCATGGGCAAAGATTTCATCACTAAAACACAAAAAGCAATGGAAACAAAAGCCAAAATTGACAAATTAAACTAATTAAAATTGACAAATTTTAGTTCAGTTGACAAATTACACTAATTAAAATTGACAAAATTTGACAAAATTGACAAATTAATTAAATTAAACTAAAGAGCTTCTGCACAGCAAAAGAAACTATCATCAGAGTGAACAGGCAACCTACAGAATGGGAGAAAATTTTTGCAATTTATCCATCTAACAATGGGCTAATATCCAGAATCTACAAAGAACTTAAACAAATTTACAAGAAAAAAACAAACAACCCCATCAAAAAGTGGATGAAGGATATGAACAGACACTTCTTAAAAGAAGACATTTATGTGGCAAACAAACATATGAAAAGGGCTTATCATCACTGGTCATTAGAGAAATGCAAATCAAAACCACAATGAGATACCATCTCATGCCAGTTAAAATGGTAGTCATTAAAAAGTCAGGAAACAACAGATGCTGAAGAGGATGTGGAGAAACAGGAAGGCTTTTACACTGTTGGTGGGAGTGTAAATTAGTTCAACCATTGTGGAAGACTGTGGTGATTCCTTAAGGATCTAGAACTAGAAATACCATTTGACCCAGTGATCCCATTACTGGGTATATACCCGAAGGATTATAAATCATGCTACTATGAAGACACATGCACACGTATGTTTATTGCGGCACTATTCACAATAGCAAAGACTTGGAACCAACCCAAATGTCCATCAATGATAGACTGGATTAAGAAAATGTGGCACATATACACCATGAAATACTATGCAGCCATAAAAAGGACGAGTTCATGTCCTTTGCAGGGACATGGATGAAGCTGGAAACCATCATTCTCAGCAAACTATCGCAAGGACAGAAAACCAAACACGGCATGTTCTCACTCATAGGTGGGAATTGAAAAATGAGAACACATGGACACAGGGCAGGGAATATCACACACTGGGGCCTGTTGGGGGTGGGGGTCTAGGGGAGGGATAGCATTAGGAGAAATACCTAATGTAGACGATGGGTTGATGGGTGCAGCAAACCACCATGGTACATGTATACCTATGTAACAAACCTGCAAGTTCTGCACATGTATCCCAGAACTTAAAGTATAATTTAAAAAATAATAATAATGAAAAAATAATTTGGGTACATATAATAAAAAAATTCAAGATCCACAATCTCTTGAATATAAAAACTACATGAAATATAGAGGAGATAGGACCAAAGGTAACAGCTGCTCTAGACCCTTAATGGCTCCCTTGTAGGGAGGATCAGTACTGTCCCATAAAGTCACATTCCCTATGTGACCTTGAGGTCTTCTCAGATTCTATCTCTGCAGTGAGGTAAACAGCCAGTCAGCACCGAAGGACAAGGAGGGGTGTATTTTAACATCTTGTCACCCTTTGATCATAGTGTATTTCATTCTTATATATCTCTCCTTCCTGGTCACTGTAGAACCATACAGAAACCATCTGCCCCACTATGTGAATCACATTTAACCACAAGGTTTTAAGAGGGAATATAATAAAAGATTATTTCCTGCAGGGATAAGAAGCAACTTCAAGCTAGAAATGCATGAATTGCTAGAGAAACCAACGAAAGGAGCCTTGCATCCATCTCATTTTTCTCAAGTTGAGCCACATGTGAACAAAAGTCTATATGAAATGATCAGCTGGCTCCTTCACAAACAGCTGTAGGTGAACGGAGGGGAATAGCATGAGGATACATGGAGTGTGAGCTTGATCTGGCTTTCAGTAAGAATTTGCCAATATGTTGTGTCAGAACCTGCTTGGTAAGTGGCACAGCACAAAAACATTCCCAAGACTTCTTTACATTATGTTTATGGATCATTCATGACTAATTTTCCAACAAAAACAAACATGCACTAGAGAAAATCAAGAAAGAGCAAATTGATCTTTGAGAAGACAGCAAAGTAAAGTTCTTACATTAATTTTACTTTACAAAACATGCAATTCAATTCATGACAAAATCCAAGGAGCACGTTTGAGCTACTGGAATTCCTGAGTTCATTGGGAAAATGCTGACCTGACTTTCCTCTTCTGCCTTCTAGGATGGGTTGGGCTGGGCTGGACCTCAGTCTGGGAGATGCATTAAAGTGGAGAGACTGACTTCTCTTAAAGATTCTTCTTTGTTTCAGGGGACAGTTCTTAAGGACAGAGTAATAGAGTCAGACAGGATTGGGGGATATCGTGAGATGTTGAGATAAAGATGCTTCAGTTAAAGGCCTGGGCTCTGATATGCAAGTGGCCCTGGTACAGGAAGACCTAAGGGACACAGGGAACTTGATAACTGCTTGTCAAGACCCAGTTCAAAGCAGATATGCTTAGAGAGCTTCCTGACATGAGGGCAGAACTTTGATCTCTCAGGAGGTTGGCCTCTGTGATACCAAGTCCGTCCAAGTCCTCCCAGGTATGAGAAAAAAGGTCTCTACCTTTTTTTTCATTTTCAAAGCATTTTAACTCAAAGACTCATTTTTTAAAAAAATTTAAAACCTTGTGATTTTTTTTTTACTGAGGAAGGTGCATTTGAAGATTGACAGGATAGAAACCAGTTTCCTGGAAAAAGGAGGGCCTGCGGTTCCCAAGGTAGCCCCAGTGGGTGAGCTACTTCTGTGTTCTGGTCCCTGGTTCACAGGTGCCCTGGCTGTGTAGATGGGCAGAGGGTGTGTTTTTCTGTTAGAAGTAGGATTTGAGCCACTGTGTTACTGAGGTGTGGTCTATGACTTCTGGGTGTAACCTTTCAGATTTTCCAATTTCCCAGCTTCTATATTCGTATTTAATTCTCATCTAACACAGAAAATGAAGTTCTGGCACATGCTGCACCATGAACAAGCCATGAAAACATGAGGCTGAGTGAAAGAAACAGAAACAAAATGTCACGGAAGGTTTGATTCCACTAATAGGACGTGTCCAGAATGGGTGAATGCGCAGAGACAGAAAGCAGATGGTGGTTGCCAAGAGCTGGGAGGGAGAAAGGGATGTAACTGCTAAGGGCATCCTTATGGGGCATGAAAATGTTTTGGAACTAGATAGAGTTGGGGGTTGCGCAATATTGTGAAGAGGCAAAGTGAGGCAGAACTGTGCACTCTAAATTGGTTAATTTCTGTTATGTGAATTTCACCTCAGATAAAAATTAAGTGGGGAGGGTGGGCTCTCGCCTCAGAATCAGAGCAAATACTTCAATCCCAATGCAAAGGCTACTTGGCTATTTTGGCTGCACCAAACTGAGCACTTCCAACAGCGCTGGCTCCCTGAATCCCAGGATCCAGCCTGTTGTATCTACTCCTTGGGGAGCCTGGCTCATGACCCAACTTGGAAATGACATTCCCAAGACCACAAATGACATTTCCAAGTACCAGGATGTCTCTATGCCCAGTGCTGGGGCCACACCAGATGCCGAGGCCTCTCCACCCCAGGAGGGCTGCCTCCTCCTCCTAGGTGACAATGAAGAATGTACTGCTCAGTCACTGGGCTCAGTGGTCGTCTCTGGGCATGAGCTGGGTTTCAATGAGCTCAGGAATGGGAAGCATGACTCTGCCCCTGAGGCCACATGCCACCTCCATAGCGGATCTTTTCTTCTGGCTGGAGGGGAAGTCACTTCTTCCCATGAAACTATTTTATCTATAAATCTCCTCTCCTTGTTGGAGACCAAAGCCCAGCTGCTCCTGCTTGGTGCCCTGGTGGCCTGGGGTGGGCCATGGAGTCCTGTTTGCAGTTTCTCTTCTGTCACCATCACGAGTTCTGACACCCTGGCCTGGGCACAGAACCGCACATCAGCCTGATGTTTCCATGGACACCAATGTTACTAAGCCCCAAGCCTCGTCTTATGACCAGATTAGATATAAGCTGGATCTGCTTTCCTCTCCTGGCCTCAGATAAGAAAGTCTAGGCAACAGGCACAGGGAGGGGCGAGACTGGGGCCAGACCCTTCCATTTCAACAGAGCTGCTGACTGAAGGGGAACTCCATCATCCTGGCAAGGAGGGAAGATTCAAACACTGGGCTCACTTGGAGCTGGTCCCTAGCACTCTCCTGAAACCCCACTGATGCACCAATATGTGACTGCAGATCACAGGGTCACGTGTGAGATATTTCCTGGCATATCTTAGGCTTTCATCAATTTGTGGAACAATCTTTGTTTTAGAAGCCTCTGTGATCCATAAACAAAGCTTCAGTAGCTCAGGGTTGTAGGACCAGGTTCGTCTCACCATTCTGAGACTTCCCATGATTCCATGTATAAAGTTCTCTTCACTACTGTGATCATCAGCTTGGACTCCCATGACTAAGACCACAGACTGAGTGACTTAAATGATAGAAGTCTATTCTGTCACAGTCCTGGGGGTTGGAATTCTGAGATTAAGGGGTCGGCACTGTCGGTTCTTTCTGAGACCTCTCTCCTTGGCTTGTAGATGGCTGTCTTTTCCCTGCATGCTTACATGGTTGTCCCTGTGTGTTTAACTAATCCTAATCTCCTCATCTCATGAGGACACCAGTCCTATTGGATTAGGGCCCAACCTAAAGACCCATTTTAACATAATTACCTCTTCAAAGATTCTGTCTGCAGACACAGTCACATTCTGAAGTATTAGGGGTTAGGACCTTAACATATGAATTTAGAAGGTCACAATTCAGCTAATAACAGCAACCCTTAGATAGCTGGGAATACTGAGGCAGAAAAGGATCCACTGCTTATCAAAGATAGCTGTGATTTGCCCACATAAGATCAGCTTTCATACCCTTGGCCTGAACTCCCAGGTTACTAGGTTTGACTCAGCTGTGGGTTCCCAGAAGAGGTATTGATCCTCTCCCGTTTCATTTTTAGTTAGGTGACCAACCAGCTTGGTTTTCCCAGGGCTATCGGGATATTCAGGACAAGGAATTTTCAGGAATACAAACTAGGAAATTCTAAGGCAAAGTGGTACCTTTGCCCTCCCTGCACAATTCTTCACACAAAGACCTGTGATTGGCAGCCTGAAGCGGAGTGCCTGCTCCTGAAGTGGACAGAGCCCATGGCTCAAGTGCATGTCTCCCTCGGGACCCCATGAAGCAGCTTCTGGTGTGCAGGGTCCCCTGCTCTCACCTACATGTAACAGAGCAACTTAAGTCCTCTGCAGGCACCCTCCCCAAGTAGCTCCTCAGTGTCAAACCCTGTTCCAGGGGCTGGAGAAAAGGCAGTGAACAGAATTTTAAAGACAAAGTAAATTCTCATGGAACTTCCATTCCAGGGCATGATTCCCACAAAAGCAAGTAAGTGAATATCATAGACTGCCAGCAGGTCAAGAGTGCAATGTTTAAAGGCTGATCAGCAGAAGATCACCTGGAAGGTGACCCTGAGGCAGAGACTGGAAGGAGGAGACCGAGCTCACTGAGGCACAGAGGCTCTTCCAAGCAGGAGAACAGCATGTGCAAAGGTCCAGGGAGGAGGCCTGAGAGCTAACAGAGAAGAGGTGAGCAGGAGCAAGGTTGGGAGCCCTTCCCTTGAGTACTGACCAGCAACCTCCCCATCCAGGACTCAAGGAGTCTCAGAACCTCAAGGTAAAGTAGTCACTCAGTGCCCCCACCAAAACGATGTCACAAAAACAGCCTGTACCAGTGGGAAAGTTGGAGAACCATCCCTATGGGCTAATGTAAACAAATGTATTTTTTTATGCAGCCTTATAGATAATCTGGGTGCACGGGATACACACTGGGCCTTGGGCACAGCATGAAGCATCAGGGATAACTGAATGCGGTGGAGAGAGGGGTAAGGGTATGCATGAGAGGGCATCCTGCAATGGAGAATCTGGGAGGGAAGGGATGGGTCTCCCACAAGAAGCTTGCTCCTTTCCTCCACTCTGCTCTGCAGAATCCCTGCCAATCTCATGAGGCTCAGCAGGAACCTCTGAGGACAGAGGGCAACCCTGACTCTCCTCTCCAGACCTGGTATGTTACCAGCCTTTGTTTTTGCAGGATGTGCGCAGGCAGCAAAGGTAGCCCACCATAGCCTAGCTTCTCGCAACCCTCTCTGGAAAGCTGGATTGGGACAATGAGACTGAGACCTCAGGACATGTGAACATGAGCCATACGGGAGGTGAGTGGTTGGTGGACAGGCAGGTGGTCTTCTCCCTGACAGTGCTGGTGGCCCTCTGTGGACTGGTAGGCAATGATGTGATCTGCTGGCTTCTCTACTCACAGGTCTGGAGCAGCCCCTATGTGACCTACATCCTTAACCTGGCCACTGTTGATATGGTCAACCTCTCCTGTGTAACTGTGATCCTGCTGGAGAAAATCCTCATGCTGTATCACCAGGCGGCATTGCAGGTGGCTGTGTTTCTGGATCCTGTCTCCTATTTCTCCGACACAGTGGGTCTCTGTCTCCTGGTGGCCATGAGTATTGAGAGCTTTCTCTGTGCCCTCTGTCCCACCTGGTGCTGCCACCGCCCAGAGCACACCTCTGCCATGGTGAGGTGGGCCCTGGCCCTTTCTTTGTATGCAGTTAGCCAGGTCTGTGAGTACTGGGAGAAGTGCTTGGCATGTGACCAATTTCATGAGGCTTTATGACATGTCATGTACTTATTTGCTTTGTAATGGGCATGTCCAAGCTGATCCTGATCATCTGGGGTCTGTGCTGTCCCCAGTGGTGTTCCCCCATCAGGACCTATCATGTTGTCTGCTTTGTGATCATCAGCTTCTTCCTTTGGGTCCTGCCCTTAGTTGTCCTTGTGTGCCTGCCAGGAAAGTTTCTGACCCTTGCCTTTGACCTCCTGTTGCTACTGTCCATTGTGGTCAGCATGCCTCACCTAGTCATCTACTTCTTGGCTGAGTAACTCTACAGGAAGAGGCACAGGGAGTCCCTAAAGGCTGTTTTTCAGAGGGCTTTGTTGAGTGAGATGGAGGCATGGATAAAATGAGGCGTTTCAGGCCCCCGATCCCAGGGCAGATTTCAGCCTCACAGCTGGAAACAAACTGCTCTTCTAGGGGGCTCAGCTCCTCCACAAAGGCAGGGACTGCCTATGCACAAGGCTGTAAAAGGGATCATGTCTGGAAAACATGCTGGATCCTCCAAGGAGCAGGGTGAATGTTCTTGAGATTATTTATTACCTTTGTGTATTTTCAGAGTAACCAGATTTCTGACTGAATTCAAGACAAAATTACTTTGCTTCTGTTGATAGCCCATTATTCTCAATTCCCATGGAAACCCTCTGGAAAGGCAGGTCAGGAGCAAAGCAGACCTTCCTGGCTTCTTCTTTTTTTTTTTTTTTCCAGCTAATTATTTTATTTTATTTTATTTTATTTTTCTTTTTTTATTATACTTTAAGTTTTAGGGTACATGTGCACAACGTGCATGTTTGTTACATATGTATACATGTGCCATGTTGGTGTGCTGCACCCATTAACTCATCATTTAACATTAGGTATATCTCCTAGTGCTATCCCTCCCCCTTCACCCCACCCCACAACAGGCCCCAGAGTGTGATGTTCCCCTTCCTGTGTCCATGTGTTCTCATTGTTCAATTCCCACCTATGAGTGAGAACATGCGGTGTTTGGTTTTTTTGTCCTTGCACTAGTTTGCTGAGAATGATGGTTTCCAGCTTCATCCATGTCCCTACAAAGGACATGAACTCATCATTTTTTATGGCTGCATAGTATTCCATGGCGTATATGTGCCACATTTTCTTAATCCAGTCTATCATTGTTGGACATTTGGGTTGGTTTCAAGTCTTTGCTATTGTGAATAGTGTCATAATAAACATACGTGTGCATGTGTCTTTATAGCAGCATGATTTACAATCCTTTCGGTATATACCCAGTAATGGGATGGCTGGGTCAAATGGTATTTCTAGTTCTAGATCCCTGAGGAATCGCCACACTGACTTCTACAATGGTTGAACTAGTTTATAGTCACTGGCCATCAGAGAAATGCAAATCAAAACCACGATGAGATACCATCTCACACCAGTTAGAATGGTGATCATTAAAAAGTCAGGAAACAACAGGTGCTGGAGAGGATGTGGAGAAATAGGAACATCTTTACACTGTTGGTGGGACTGTAAACTAGTTCAACCTTCCTGGCTTCTGCAAGCTCCATATTTCTGAGAGTGACAAGTGTCATTCATCCTTATTCAGTCACCTTGCTCGGAGTTCTGTCCTCTGTCACCCCAGTCCATCCTTCCTGGGGACCCCTGGGCAGAGACTGATTCATGATCCTGATGTTCCTCCACCATTATGGCCTCAAGTTTCCATCCATCCCTTCCTACAAAAGCCAGGAAAGCGATTCAGTAAGAGTGCCATAACAAGTTGTTTCTGGCGTTGCTCACTGTGGAGAGATCTAACGCTGGCAGTCTGGCCTACAGCCTGGTTTCTCCAAGCTGTTTCACTCTGCTCATTCCAGGTTCCACGCACAGGCTACTCTCTGTGTTTTTCCCAGACTCATCACACAATCTAGCGCCTGTGCTTCTTCACAGGAATCCCACCCTGCAGAATGTCATGCATTCTTCCCCACCCTGACCAGGGTGTTGCCCGGCACCCACCATGGTCAGAACCTTAATGAGAGCCCCTGACCAGCCCCAGCTCCATCCCGTCAATGCTCTATAGCCATCACAGCAGCACATCACCCTGCTTCATTTGTTCAATTGCACCCCAGCCAGCGTAACTCTTAGATTTCAGGATGGTGTCCACCCCCTGAGTTGTCCTCAGGTGCACCATTTGACCTTGTCCCATGACATCCTCACACAGGATTCACTCTCTCCCTTGTTTGCACCAGACTCGCGCCCAACCTTGCAAGGTCCCTTTCTCCCTTCCCTGCTTAGAGCACTCCCTCAACACTATCTGTACATTTTACTCTTTTTCACCCTTCACTCCTTAAAGATGTTTGTCCAGACCACCCCATTTAAATCTCCACCCCTTTTTGACTCTTCTCTAAAAGGTTTGTTTCTTTTAATGTGAAGATAATTGTCTATAATTATTTTCTATGTATTCTGTGTTGTGTGTTGTTATCAGTTTATTGTACTCCTGTCTCATTTGCACTTGAAGCCCCAGTAGGGCAGAGGCCACACCTTCCTCCTACCCTAGCAAATTCCCAGCAAGTAGCAAAATGCCCTGCAAGTCTGACATTAACCCCCCATCATCTGATGTTATCCATCGCTCACTAGTCCACCTTTCCACCTTGCATGTTTCCACATGTTTTCATTGTCTCTGCCTTCTTGAGGCTTCCCAACCATATTCTAACTAGAATTCGACGAACACGTCTTTGGAGATTGTTCCCAGTGTTCTTGTAATTGATTTGTCAGTTTTTTACTCACTTGGAAAATGTCACTTGTATAATACTATGACTGTTATGTGAAATTCACACTGTTTTCTCTGTTGCCGAAAACTTGCTCAGGTTTGTAAATGTGCCAGTGATACTGGTAAGCAATGTACATTCTCTTATTTTAGATATTCAATGTGATACATTCTAAAGCAATTCTGAGATGTTTAGATTACAGCAATTCTTTAAATGCTGTTACTTGGATCATATTGATTTCTGCCTAGTGTAAATGACAAAATTGATAGGGACATGTTCATATCTCCTATTAGTTTGTTTCACATCACACTAGAATTTGAAACAGAGTTTGATTTACATAATTTGATGTTGTCCTTTGATAAGTGAATGGCAGAAACCCTGGCCCTAGAGCACAGAAGGGCTGATCCGGGCTGCCTGTCTTTAGTCAGCGTGTTTTGTTCTAACAAAATGCCATAGATTAGGCTACAAACAGCAGATATTTATTTTCTCAGAGTCCTGGAGCTTGGAAGTTCAAGATCAATGTATCAGCAGGGTGGGCTTCCCCTGAGGCCTCCCTCTTTGACTTGAGATGGCCGCCTTCTCCCTGTGTCATGACATGGCCTTTTTCTGTGTACCCACATCCCTGGGGACACTTTCTATTCTTATGAGGATTTTAATTCTTTAGGATTAGGACCTCAGTCTTATGAGCTCCTTAGCCTTAATTATCTCTTTAAAGGCCCTATCTCAAAATATTGTCACATTCAGGGTTAGGACTTTAGCCCGTGAAGTTTGGATGCCTGGAAGTAAGAGGCAGGTTGATCTCACAGAGTTGGGCTGCTGCTATGTTCAGGCAGGGGATACAATTTGGGCATTTTATGTGCCTTTACCCTGGGCCAACAGTTCCCTTGGAGGTGAGCATCTGGCTTATGGTTCTTTAGTTTTTTGTGGAAACGTCTCTATTATCCTTGCAGCTGATGAGCTCCTGGCAACACAGACAGTCCTCAGTTTCCTGAATTCTCTCACTCACTCAGAAAAACAAAAATGTCAAGGCTAGGTATGGACTATTACAGTTTAGTAAGTAATCCCCTTCCTTCCCTCTGGAATTGAGAACTACTGATGAAAGTGAATGAAGGAATGAGGACAGTGTCAGATGGAGAACAATGCATTACTTCTATTGCTCCTAAAATTGAACTGGAGAAAGGGGCTTGGATGTCTAAAAAACTGACTTTCAAAAGTGCCCCTTAAATGGTACCTACTCCAGAGGATCCCATCCCTCCTCCCTCTTCCTGCCCATCTCTCTTTGGAGGAAAGCAGTCCTTCTGGGGAACTCACCACCCACTGGTGAAGGGAGCACTCACTCCAGGTTATTCTTCCAAACTCACTCATCAGTTTCTTTCCTTCTCCCCGGGAGGGAAAAAGTGCGGGGAAAGAGAGAGAGCCCAGAGCTTAAAATAGACCTGAGATTCTCAGTCTTAAATAGTATTGAGCAGCTCAAAGAACTTTTGTGGATCAGGGTTGTATCTTTCAATATTTACAGTATTAGTAATTATAACTCAGAACTTTACAAATGTTTACTTATTAACTCCTTTAGAACATAAATTGTATGCCTATTCCATGTAAACATGAATAAATTTTAGAAAAAATAACTATGTTTTCTTTAAAAAGTTATGTTATTGAGAAGAGCAAGATGGTTTTGTATTTTGCAGACCTCTTAGAGGCCCAGCAGCAAGCTGGACATTCACAGCTGCTTCTGCATTGGTGTAGTTTTCCAGTTGGCGGCTTCATCTCACCTCATACAGTCTCTGGAAAACTCCACTTTCACTCAGGAGTGCATGAGTGTGAGAAACACAGACTCACTTCAATACTTCAAGTATTACCTGAAGATTATGTTGGCCTCCCTTCCCCTAAAAAGGTGTTGGGGACCACATCTCAAGAATTACTCCTCTGGGGTGATCCCCACCTGGAAATAAGGGCTGAGGGAGTGGAGGCACCCACCCTCTCACACCAGTTCCCTTGTTTGGAATTTTTAAAGAGAGAGGCATCCCAGCATTCACCCCGCAGTAGGGCAGAACTGTGTGGCACATCCTGAGAAGGGATCAGCGGGTGACCAGGACTGAGCCTCTGCCACCTGGAAGAAACTGTACCCCAGGACTGACCAGAGTGTCTTGTGGAGTTTCGGCCTCACCAGGAGGCACTTGAATCATGGTAACCATAAGACGCTGCACGGGACAGGAAGATGAATAGTAGCAATAGCAACTAGAGCAAATATGTTCACTGATGATTTACTGTATCTCAATATTGCTCTAATCACTGTGAAAACATGAAGCCAGTTTTCACACTCTATTAATAGGTAACATTATTATCCTGCTTCAGCCTAAGCCAAAAGGCTGCTTGGCCCACTTAGCTGATTGTTATCCAATGGTCCCAGCACATTTATAACAAATATAGTCCTTCACTATTGTTCTGATTTTTGGTTATCAATCATGTTTAGACTTATGTGGGTCTGTCTCTGGGCCTTCTGCTCTGTTCTGTTGGCCTATTTATCCACCCTTGGACAACACCACACTTGATGTAGTTACTGCATCTTTCCCGTGCATATCTATGCCCAGGAAACTGAGTCCTCCTACAAACAGCCAGAGAAGAACAAGACATATATGTACAGAAAATCAAAGATAAGAATGAAGCAGATTTCTTGTTGGAAAGTTGCAAGTTGTATGACAGTGGAGAAAATTCTTTAAAATATTAAAAGAAAT
Organism: Homo sapiens; assembly: GCF_000001405.40. Lineage (NCBI taxonomy): Eukaryota > Metazoa > Chordata > Mammalia > Primates > Hominidae > Homo > Homo sapiens. The sequence continues at coordinate 735,487 of NT_167245.2, read as the reverse complement.
AAATTTGTCAGCCTAAAATTTTTTACACAGTCAAAATATTTCCCAAAGAGATGGCAAAATAAAGAGGTTTTTGGAGACACAAAAAAGATGAAACAAATCATCACCAGGAGATATGCAGACTGAGAAGTGGTAAAAGACATACATCCAGCAAGAGAATAATGACTCCACATGGAAATCTGTGTCTATTTAAGGAAGGAGTCCTTTGCCCTGATGGTATCTTCTTAAGACGCTGAAATAAGTGGTGAGAGCCAACATTCTTGGCTTGTTCCTCATCTGGGGTGAAAGCATCCAGTCTTTCATTATTAAGGGTAATACCCACTAAATATCAACCATAGGATTTTTTTTTTGGTAGCTGCCTTTTATCATTTTGAGAAACTTCGTTTCTATTCCTAGTTGACTGAAATTTTTTATGAGCCTATTGGATTTTGTCTAATGCTTTTTCTGAATCTGCTGAAATAATGTTTTTGCCTTTTAATCTGTTAATGTGGTGAATTATATTGGCTCATTTTTCATGTTAAACCTGCCTAGTATCCCTGGGATAAATTTCACTTGGTCTTGATGTGCATATATTTATATTTCTGGTGCACATGTATGTATGTTCATGAGAAAGTGATTCTGTGTGTGGCGATGCAGTAGACCTAGAATAGTTAAAAAAAAAAAAAAAAACTTTGAAAAAAGAAGAAGCAAGTGAGACAGTTTATAATACCCGACTTCAAGGCTTATTATAAAGGTTCAGAAATCCAGATGGTGTGATATTGGTAACAGGATGGACAAATAGGTCAACAGAACAGAAGAGGGTCCAGAATAGACCCTAACATATATCTTCAATTGATTTTGAAGAAGGTGTAAAGTAAATTCAGTGGAGAAAGGACAATCTTAGCAACAAACGGTCCTTAGAATTATTGGATATACATATGCACATATGAACAGAACTTCAATCCATACGTGGCATCATACATAAAAATTAATTCAGAATTTATCATAAACCATAATGTAAGACCTAAAGCTGTAAGCTGTATGTAAGAAAAGAAAAGAGAATATCAGTGTAACTTATGGTTAGGAAAATATTTCTTGGATGAATACAAAAAGTATGATGCATAAAAGAAAAAATTGATCAATTGGATTTCATCAAAATATAAGATGTGTGCACTTTGAAAGACCCTGTGGGGAGAATGAAAAGGCAAGTTCCAGGCTGGAGGAAGTGGTTTCAATCTCACATCTGATGAAGGACTCATATGTAGGATCTATAAAGAGCTCAGATGAATGGGCCCCTGGCAGCCCTTGGGAATCACAGGGGTGCTGTGCCATGGACAGACATGGAAGACACCTCCCACCCTGTCATTCATGTCTTCTGAGCTGCAGTACTCAATGTCCCCTACAAATGCCCCCTCCTGGGCCCACAGACCCTCCTCTCCCCACATCCACACCCTCAGGCCAGGCCCTGGGGCTCTTGTTGGGACAGGGCCCCTCCTGCAGGATACAGGGAGGGAGGAACTGTCAGTCTCAGGCTCTGGGTGCCCAGCTTCAAGCTTACCCACCTCAAGGCCCTCTGGGCCCATCTCACAGGATATAATGAGGTAGTCTGGCACCTACTGGACATGCTATCTAGATCTAATCCTGAGCTGTGGAGCCAGAGGAAAGGAGGGATGTTTGTTGGACCAGTTACCCTGTTCTGCCAGGTCTCACAGGGCCCTTCCCTTAGAGGCCAGCTCTAGACACACAGCACAGAGGCCAAGAGGTAGCCAGCCCAGAACCTGCAGGCTGGGCTGGGGACCACACGAGGACTGTCTGGGGACAGCCAGAAGACCCCTCACTAGTTTTCTCACTACCTCATTTCTTATCAGCTACCTTACCTCCATCAAAACCCCCCTTCACGCAAAATCAGTAAGAGGAGGAAGATGGTAAAAGAATCAACGGGAAGAAAACAAAAAAAGGACAACCATTAACAGTCCAGAACCCTGGGTGGGAAGAGTGGAACTGGGAACAGACCCTTTCATTTCAACAGAGCCTTGACTGAAGGGGACTCCATCATCCCAGCAAGGAGGGAAGATTGAAACACTAGGTTCACTTGGAGCTGATCCCTAAACTTCTCCTGAAACCCCACTGATATACTGACATGTGACTGCAGATGCCAGGGTTGCCTGTGGCATATTTCTAGAAAAATCACAGGCATTTATCAGTTTGTGGGACAAGTTTATTTCCAGAAGCTTCTGTGACCCAGAAGCAAAGCGTTAGCAGCTCAGAGTTGTAGAATCAGCATCTCAGATTATAGGATTATAGGATCTACCAGGTCGTAGATCTCACTATTGCAAGACTTCCCATGATTCAATTTGTAAAGTTCTCATCACAACTGTGATCATCAGCTTGGACTCCCGTGACTGAGACCACAAACCGAGTAGCTTAAACTACAGAAGTTTATTCTCTCTCGGTTCTAGGAGGCAGGAAGTCTGAGATCAAGGAGTGGGCAGGATAGGTTTCTTCTGAGGACTCTTTCCCTGGCTCCTAGATGGATATCTTCTCCCTGTGTCCTCACATCGTTGTCCCTTGTGGTGTTTGTATCCTAATCTCGTCTTCTTATAAGGACACTAGTCCTACTGGATTAGGGCCCATTCTAATAATCCATTGAATTTCACCTCAAGTAAAGATTAAATTAAGGGCTAGTGTGAGCTCTCATCTCAGAATCAGAGCCATTACTTCAGTCCCAAAGCAAAGGTTACCTGGCTGTTTTGGATGCACTGAGGCAGACACCTCCTTCAGAGCCTGGTCCCAGAGACAGTTTCTACTAACTGCTTGTTTTTCTGTGTATGGGCCTTACTTTATTGTTTCTTTGCATGTTGTATTATTTCGTTCTTTCTTTTTTAACTTAGCATTTTAAACAGTATAATGTGGCAACTCTGGAAGTCATATTTTTTCTGTTCCCAGATTTTACTATTGCTAGTGGATGTTTTTTGATCAGGTTTTTAAAAACTATCTGTCAAGTCTGTTCTTTTTTGTTTTTTTGTTTTGTTTTGTTTTTGTTGTTGTTGTTGTTCAACGTGGCCACTGAAGTCTCTGCTTGGTTAGCTTAGTGGCCAGGTAAAGACTGGACAAAGATTTCCTTAGGTTCCTGGAAGTAATGTCTCCCAGTGTATGTAGAGAGGCTCTGTGTGCAGGTAGATACAGGTCTTCAAAGCCCAACCAAGCAGTTTACACTGTGTCCTAGCCTTCATTTCCTGTCTGTGCAGTGCCTCAAACTTATTCAGGGTTAGAGCTTAGAGCCTGCTCAGGTCTGTTCAAAGCATATATGCAGCACTTGTCATGCCCACATCTATGCATGCATGTGGCCGTCGGAACTTTCTGGAGTATATTAAGGCTTTTCAATCCCCTTTATGGGCATCTCATTCCCTGACATTTCGTTTTTAAGTTCTTGGTTAGGCTATTGTTTGTTCCAACTGTTATTTATGACCGTCGGCAACCATGATGTTCAACAACTGCCTATGATTCTTTTTACTCATTTCCCCAGGAAATACATTGTTCTCTCTGGGATAGCTCTGAGTCAAGTCAAATAAGGATAGCATTGTGAGTTCTAGGGAACAACCAGACAGGTAAAATAATAACAGTCCTCTGGAAATAAGGGATTAAAGGATCTGTAACCCTATTGTGTCCCCTCCAGTGATTTCATGTCTGCTGGTTTTCACCATGATTGTGGACCGTTGGTTTTTAAGAGCTGAGGAGGAAGGAACAGGAGTGGAACCAGTTAAAACATCACAGAGCTCACTGTTCTTATCAAGATTCAGCTATTATTCTTGAACAAACACTCCCCAGATTGCAGCAAGCCTTTGGTTAATTTCTAGAGTTCTAAACAATATTAATTCTGACAATTCTTCCATAGTTCATTTTACTCTTAGGAAGTAGGTCATTTTTGGAAGTCATTACTCTGTTATTTTTGTTGATGTCACTGTGTTACTGGAAAGGGGCCCCAATCCAGACCCCAAGAGAGGATTCTTGGATCTCATGTAAGAAAGAATTTGGGGCGAGTCCATAAAATGAAAGCAAGTTTATTAGGAAAGTAAAGGAATAAAGTATGACTACTCCATAGACAGAGCAGTGGCATGGGCTGCTCAACTGAGTATACTTACAGTTATTTCTTGATTATATACTAAACACGGAGTGGATTATTCATAAGTTTTCTGGGAAGACGGTGGGCAATTCTCAGAACTGAAAGTTCGTCCCCTCTTTAGATTACATAGGGTTACTTCTGGACATTACCATGGCATTTGTAAACTGTCACGGCATTGATGGGAGTGTCATTCAGCATGCTAATGCATTATAATTAGAGTATAATGAACAGTGAGGAGGACCAGAGGTCACTTTCATTGCCATCTTGGTTTTGGCCGGCTTCCTTACAGCATCCTGTTTTATCAGCAGGATCTTTGTGACCTATATCTTATGCCAACCTCCTATCTCATCCTCTGACTGAGAATGCCTAACCTTTTGGGAATGCAGCCCAGCAGGTTTCAGCCTTACTTTACCCAGCCACTACTCAAGATGGAGTCACTCTGGTTCAAACGCCTATAACAACAGTATGGTTTTTTGTTTTATTGGAATTGTTGCTTTAGGGATTATGATATAAATATTTACCCTTTCATGGTCTACTTAGAATGAATAGATCCATTTATTATTATTAGTTTATTCAGTAATTGTCATATGTATTACATTTGTATGAATCCCCATCAGTGTTGTACTTTTTAGTTCCAACAGAGATACATATTTTAAATAATTCAAAAAGAGAATAATATACGATTGCATTTACCCAGATAATTACTCTTTCTGTTGTTCCTTTTTCATTCATGATATTCTGATTTTCCCTCTGGTTTTATTTCCTCTCTGCCTGAAGCAGTGCAATCCATGCTTAAAAGCATTTCTTTTAAATCAGATGAGTTGGTGATACCTACTTTCACTGAGAATATCTTTACTTCATCTTCGTTTCTGAAGAATATTTTAACTTTATATAGAATTGCCTAAATGAGTGTCAATTGTGAGGAATGGGAATTAATGACATTGGCTGCTAAAATGGAGTGAAGAAGGTAGGTGAACAGCTCTGGTCTAAGACCAAGGTTCCCATGCAGGACTTGGTTTTTCTGCTGGGCTTTAAGACCCCAAAGCCCAAGAAAATGCTATCGTCTTATGAAATTTCCAAGAAGAAGACCATCCACCTCACCTTAAAGGTGGTGAAGCCCAAGATGCGGAGCTGCCCATGTTTCTGGTGGAAACATGTGATGAGGAGCAGAGAAATCTCCTCCTGGCATGACTTAATTTAAAAAAATATGGTAGATTATGGCATCAGAAAGGACAAATTACATTTCTTGACATACCACTCCACTGGAGGTGACCCAGGGGTAGAGAGATGCTTAAGGAAAAGCAGTTCATTTTCTTCTGGCTCATGTTCAGTAACCAGGGTGCCCAAATACTTTGAAGACGGAGTCTTAATCCAGAAGATAGGAGTTCTGTGTAACCTATACTATATGGTTACTTGATAGCAACAAAGTTCTTGTTGAAATATTCTGTTATAACTCAAAGGTTATATTATGTTTGCTTTTTTTTTCTGGACTCTTTAGTGGAAAATGGAAAAAAATACTACAAATAAAACATTAAACTTTTCCTTCCAATATTTCACCTTTATTTCAGTCTCAAAAAAAGTGTTATTTGCAACTTTAATGTGGCCAGAACCATATACATTTGAAAGGCTGCTAAATTGAAAACAATAGAGCCTGCATTTTGGTTGTAACAATCCATTCTGTGTATTTGCATGTGATTATAGATTTGCTAAGTTTTAGTTCCTCCTTTCCTCTGGCTGTAACTTGAGGCAGTGAAGGAGAAAGAGAAGGCAAAAAAGGGTCAATAGAAGAAGGAGCAACTGGACAGAAAGAACCTTGAGGAAGTAGGAAAGAAGACATGTGCAGGGGGTTGAATGCTTATGTCCTTCCAAAATTCATATGTTGAAATCCTAAACCACCAAGATGATGGCATTAGAACATGGGGCCTTTGGGCAGTGATTAGGTCATGAGGGAAGAGGCTTCATAATTGGAATTAGTGCCCTCATAAAAGAGACTCCAGAGAGTTGGTAGTCCCTTTCACCATGTGTGGGCACAGCAAGAAGTCACCTTCTATAATCAGAAAGCAGGCCCTCAATAGGCATGAAATCTGCCTTAATCTTGGAGTTTCCAGCCTCCAGAACTGTAAGAAAGAAATGTTTGTTATTTATAAACCACCCAATTTATGTGTAGCTTGTGATAGTAGCTTGAATGAACTAAGCTAACACGGTAAGAACCAGAAATGAAGATAGAGTGACGGTGATGACTGTCAAGCACACTCATGAGAAGCAAGGCAAGGCCATGGCCTAGCTGATTTGGCTGGAGAAGATATGAGCCACTTTTACACTTAGATGGCTTATTATTTACATATAAAAAAGAAGTAAAAGCCAAACGTGCCAATTCCCTGGCTCCTTGTCCTACACACCAAAAAGGATGACACGGAAACCAAAGGGGCCAGACGACTGTGACACTGTTGTGGAATATACCACTGGTGAGGAGTCAGTTCTAGAATCCAGCTATTCCTCATTATATTCTTCAGCTATATCCTAAAGGGTGTGGGGCAGAAAACCCCATGCTCCATCCAAAACCTGGGAGACAGTAAAGACTTGTCACATGACATACTCCCAGGGATATAAGAAGGAGAGTGAGAGATGGCATTGAGGCAGGTTCTAAAGGGCCTCCCATCCTCTCATATTCCAGGAGGATCAAAAAGCATTCTTCTAAATCTCAGATTAGCTGTTCTTCAAGCCTTTGCTTACATGACCTACGTAGATACATGCAAGGTGTCCAGAATGCTATGATGGAGTAGTTCCCCTACACTGACATGACAATTGGAGAGCAATTATATAACCAGAAATAGGCATGGTGGAGTTAGGAAATCTATAGAAGTGATGACAGTAAAAAGAACAGAATGGAGGATAGAAATATTAAGAATGGACAGTGATAGGAATGATAATATTTGAATTTGTGTGCCTTATGGAGCTACCTATCTCCTCTCACCCAATTTCTTTTATCTCTCTGTCCCTCTCTTTCTCATTCTCCCTCTCATAGATAACATAGCCACACTGTGACCCACCACAGTGGCTCAGGTGTATGTGGGAAGGGTAGTAGTCTGGAAAACTTAACATGTTCATAAATCTTGAAGAAACTCTTCTTACTTTCGAAAGTATATTAAGCAGCTCTCCAGCTTTCCCTGGAGTCTCTTTCCTTCCCTAGTAACCTCCTGAGTGCTCGCTTTATCTCCTTGTTCCTCAGGGTGTATACGAGAGGGTTAAGTGAAGGAGTGCCCACTGCATAGAAGAGACCAAAGAACTTGCCCCTCCCTTGGGCATACGGATTTTTGGGCTGGAGGTAGACAGCAATGACTGAGCTGTAGAAGAGGGTGACCACAGTGAGATGGGAGGAGCAGGTCCCAAAGGCCTTTCTCCATGCTGTGGCAGAGTTAATCCTCAGCACTGCCTGGGCAGTGGCTCCATAAGAGGCAAGGATGAGGCTGAGAGGCACAACCACGAAGATGACACTGGACACAGCCAACTGGATTTCATTGTAGGAGGTATCTCCACAGGAGAGTCGAATCAGAGATGGGACCTCACATAAAAAGTCATCTATCTGCTGGTGGGGACAGAAGGGCAAGTGGAGGGTGGATGGTGTCTGGACTATCGATTGAACCAGACTCATAACCCAGGCCACAGATGCCAGCTGCCAGCACAGGCGGGGGTGGATGATGGTGGCATAGTGGAGGGGCTGGCAGACAGCCACGTATCGGTCAAAGGCCATCACTGTCAGGAGGATGCACTCAGTGGTCCCCAGGGACAGGAAGATGAAGAGCTGGACAGAGCATCCCAGGAAGCTGATGGTCTTCTTTGGGCCCCAGAGGTTGACCAGCATCTGGGGGACACAACTTGTGGTAAAGCAGAGGTCCAAGAAGGAGAGGTCAGAGAGGAAAAAGTACATTGGAGAGTGGAGCCTGGGGTACAGTACAGACAGCAGGATGATGAGTGTGTTGCCCACCAGGGTCAAGAGGTAGGAAGTGAAGACAACCACAAAGAGAGTCCTTTCCAGTGCTGGGTGTTCAGAGAAGCCCAGAAGGAGGAAGCCCATGGGGGAGCTTTGGTTAACCATGGCCTGTTCTTGTTTGTACCTGGAGGGATGAGGCTGTCACCCCAGTGTGATTCAACCTGTCTTATCAAAACTCAGCCTGGGTGTTTGTGAGGTCACAGCAGGTAGGTGTTTCTTTTCTGTCTCTGCTCACCCAGCCTCCCTTTCCCAGGCTTATCGTCATCCAGCAGCTCCTTCTCGTTCCCTGTTCCTTCTGATCAAACGTTGTCTAGCAGAAGTGAGGAAACCAAGAATGTGCTGGAAAGCAGGTGGAACCTCACATTGGTGCCTCTGACTTCCTGGTTGAGGGCAAAGAAAGCTGATGTAAAACATGGATTAATTAACCGATCTTCATTAATTCAACAATAAATTGTTAGGCTCTATCTTATTCTAAATGTTGTGGTAGTTCTGAATATTTCATTATGTACATCCATAAAGAATTAGAAAAGAATCATTTGATAGAATTGCCCTACTATTCATATGTATGCAAAATTATTCTGTATTCTGGGGCATAAGTTTCCTGGAATTATTCATGTTTTATCTACTTTATCTTTGTTTGCAGAGGTGTCAATCAGAGGCAGAGTGTAGAATTAACAAAGAGATTTCTCCGCTGTGTGTATTAACTCCACTCATAGAAAAATCAATGAGGTATTTTGTTCCTTCTCCATTAAAAAAATTATGATTCATTAAACTAAATGTAAGAGCTTCCTCCACAAATGAAAATCCCTAACCTCAACTTAACATTATGTAGAATGTAGCAAAATGACATGAAAAAAATGCTGCCAATTGTCTTGTTCTGGGGCTTAGAAATTAAAAAGATGATATAATTTTTAAAATTTTTTGCCTCTCAAATAAGATTATGTCAATAGCAAAATAGAGAGTTGATATTGGGACGTTTAAGTAGAAATTATTCAGGATCTAGAAGAATTTAAAGAAAAAAAGGAAGGAATTAGAATTTGTTACTTTCTTAATTCTATTCACTATTTAAGATTTAAAACATTATTTTTATAAAAATTCATACCCCCAAATTTTAAGAGTAATTTAAAGAATTTCTGAATGTTCTTTATCTATATTAGTAAAGTGCTAACACTTGACATTTTTATCATTACATCTTTATCTTTGCATATGCAATTATATTTACCCTGAGCTACTGAACAGTGAGTTGTATATATAATGCCTCTTCACTTCTTCATGTTTCTAAGATAGAATTTTTTTTTAGTGTAAAAACAGCTCAGTTACTAAATACAGGAAAGCCAACATTGATAAAGTATTATTGGCCGGGTGTGGTGGCTCACGCCTATAATCCCAGCACTTTGGGAGGCTGAGGCGGGCGGATCACCTGAGGTCAGATGTTTGAGATCAGCCTGGTCAACATGGTGAAACCTCGTCTCTACAAAAAAAAAAAAAAAAAAAAAAAAAAATTAGCGGGGTGTGGTGGTGGGTGTCTGTAATCCCAGCTACTCAGGAGGCTGAAGCAGGAGAATCGTTTCAACCTGGGAGGTGGAAGTTGCAGTGAGCTGAGATCGTGCCATTACACTCCAGCCTGGGCAACGAGAGAGAAACTCTGTCTCAAAACTAACTAAATAAATAATAAAATATTATTACTTACTCTGTAGACCATACTTATAGTTTTGCCAATAATTTCTGTTATATACGTGTTTTCCCATGGAAGATCCACTCCAGATTATGTATGTCTGAGCTTGCCCTCTTAAGTAGCCTTTCCTTAGTCAGTGAAATAACAAGCCTTAAAGTATAGGCTGGTCGGTTCAGTTCCTAGCATGAGAAGCAGAGAGACTAGAAGAGTATGGCCTCATGTATTCAATAAACACTGGGAAATACATGGGAAAATTGAGACCCTCCCCAACACCGCCGCCCAGAATTGAAGGCAAATAAATTAAGATGAGGTGTGGGTTAGGAAAGAGTCTGCACAATAAAGGAGGAATCTGGGTGGGTGGGCCACGGAAAGCCTTTAGGAGGAGGTGACATGCATTTTTGCTGTAAAAGACTGTGCTGAGACACATGAGGCAAGCTCAATGATGGGGGTGGGATGCGGCACCACCCTGGCAGGTAAGAGGCAGAAACTGAGGGTTTTCTGAGCACAGACAATGGCAGGAGGGCCGTTTAGGGGATGTGGCCATTTAGGGCAAGCAAGTTGGTGGTCTCATTGGCAGACAGTGCCCTGGGACTTTATGGGATGGCACAATCACCTCTGCATCACAGGACCCTGTCTGGTGTTAAAAGCTGCCTCCCATCTCCCTTTTCATCAAGACTCCCTCCTTTTTGTCTCCTTCTATATTCCTTCCTCCATCATTACGTCTCTCCTTGAGGATAAGATTTGTTCCCTTAATTTTTTAAAAATCATATAAACAAAAAGTATATAAAACACATCTATGGATTTTATGGAATAATAAACACATGGTGTACCTGAATCTCCTCCTGATTTAAGAACAGATCAAATATTACTGGTATCTTAGAAGTCTTCTGTGTTCTCCTCCCTGATCACATCTCCTTCTCTCCCACTGAAGAAGTAAACACTATTCTGATTATTTTAAATGTATCGTTCCTTTTTAAACTTTGCAGCCTCATATCTTTTGTGTCTCAGCAATTGTCCAGAGTTTTATTCATCCATAAACTGCAGCATTTCTTACATTCTTACTCTCTTGGCAACTTGTCTCACTGTATGTTTTTTCTTAATCTCTTCAGTTTATATCTTCCTTTGACCCTCTGCACTCTCCTATTTTCTATCTTTAATAACATGCCTTTTCCTTACCCTGTTTCTTCTGGTCCTTTTCTCTGACACCAATAATAGGCAAGCACTACTTTCCCTACATCCCATTAACTCCACACAGAAGCACATTAATTTATTCTTTTTTGGTCCTCAAAGAGCCAGTCATGTACTAACTGCTACAAAGTTATGAGACAAATTCTGCCCTACAGTTCAATAATAATAACCACTTATAGTTTTGACAGTTACTATCTGTTGATGTCCTATATACTAACACTGTGCTAAATAATTTCCTGGAATATCTGCTTCTTAAAAGAACCCTGCTAGACAGTTAATATCTCTGCAGAAGAACAAACAGTCTCAAAGAGGTTAAGTAACTTGCCCAGGGTTACCCTGCCAATGAGTGTCAGTGCCAGGATTGTAGACCCTGTTTGATTCAGAACTGTCTTAAGAACATGTGGAAATTGATGGGCTGTAGGGGAATAAACTTGTGACTTACTTGCAATTAAGTCAGACTCTCTTCACGGCCTTGCTGCCACAGCTTCCCCATAGAAAGGAACTTCTGGACTGGTTGGAGCCTCCACTTGTGATCTCACAATGAGAACTAAAAGCAAACTAAAGAGGAATGTTATACTCTTGATGATTATTGGAACTTGGATTTCAGTTAAGAGTATTGATTGCTAGTGCTTACTTCCATGGGCACTCAAAAAAGCGCTTCATATTTACGGCTCCTTATAACTTCAAAAGGTGGGTACTATTATTACCTTCCCTTACAGATCAATAATTGAAGACATGTAGAGGTTGAATATCTTGTTCTGGAAAGTATAGCTAGTAAGCACCAAAGACCAAATTTTAACCCAGGTGGGCTGGCTGAAGAAGCTATGCGCTAACCACATTCCACCATTGCTCTGCCAGACACATGAGCTAGAGTTAGCGCTTTACTATGGAACTCTTGCTAACGACTTCTTTTCCTCAATCCAGTAAGTTAACCTCTCTTTTAGTGACATTAAAGGCAGAAAAAAAGGCATAGTGAGATGATGGGGGGAGGAATCCCAAGACTCCCATCCCATAGAGAGAAGTAGCTCATTAATTCTGCCAAGACTAGGTGCCCCATAACCTATAGACAGCTAATTGGCCACAGCTACTAATGGTTAAGAAGGAATGTGAAGATTCAAAGGAAGTGTGCCAGCAACTGAGTTCCCTTTGGCATATAAAAAGGTCACCACTGCTTCTCCGTGTCACTGGGGAGTAAAAGGGCACTATTCTCTCCTGATCCACACCTTCTGAGTGTCCCATATTTCCAGCCTTCCTCTCAAGCCTCGAATGTGCTCATTCAATCCCCCCTGACTTTGGTTTATTTCCTTTCTCTTTTTAAAATTAAGGTATAATTTACATAATGAAGTGCACATATTTTAATGGACAATTCACTGAATGTGAACAAATGTATACATCCAGACAACCATTACCCTACTGAAGATATAGAACATTTCCATCACTCCAGAAATTTCATCATGCCCATTTACAATAATTCTCCCCATGCTCTAGGCAACCACTGCTCTGATTTCTATCATTTTGTTTTGCTTTTTCCAGAACTTCACATAAAAGATTCATTCAGCACATACTCTTTGTGTTTGGTGTGTTATGCTCTGTACCACAGTTTGGAGAATCATCCCTGTTGTTTTGTGTATCAATAGTCCAATTCTTTTTTAAAAATATCAGTGAGTAGTATTCTCTTGCCTAAATATATCACAATTTTTTCATCCATTCACTTGTTGATGAACATTCAGGTTTGTGGTTGTTTTAAAATATGGCCCCCAATTTTCTTATATCCCCTTCACAAAGTAGAGCCTACTTCCCTTACCTTTGCATGGGAGCTGTACTGAGTGACTCAGTTTTAACAAATAGAATCTGGTAGAAACGATGGGATGTGACATCAAAGACTATGTCACAGTAACATTGTGACTTCTTCTTTGTGGATTGTTTACTTTGGAGGAAGCCATCCTAGCAGTGAATGGAAACACACATATGGGGAGAAACTAAGGCTCCCTACTAAAAACGTGCAACATGTGACTGGGACATCTTGTAAGTGAATCCTTCAGCTTCATCCAAATCTTAGAAATACAATCAGCTGACTTCTTGACTACAATGTCAAGAAAGATCCTAAAATAGATACATCTACTATGTATTCACAAAAAGTTTTTAAAAAGTTAAAAGAAAGATCCTAAGCTAGAATCACCAGCTACTATTTAGCTGCTTCTGAATTGCTGGCCCATAGAAACTGTGAGATAATAAATATTTGTTGTTTGAAGCCATTAAGTTTTGGGATAACTTTTTATGCTGTAATAGAGAAACAGTGTGGGGTGGTTTCCAGTTTTTGCTGTTGTGAATCAATCTGCTATAAACTTTCATGTACAAGTCTTTTGTGTATGTGTATTTTCATTTCTCTTTGGTCAAAACCTATTTGTGGAATTTCAGGGTCATGTGATAGACATTCTAGTGGATATCAGGTGATATCTCATTATAGCTTTTATAGCTTTTTAATTTAATTTTTTTTTTTTTGAGACGGAGTCTTGCTCTGTTGCCCAGGCTGGAGTGCAGTGGCGCGATCTCGGCTCACTGAAAACTCTGCCTTCCGGGTTCACGCCATTCTCCTGCCTCAACCTCCCGAATAGCTGGGACTACAGGCGCCCGCCACCACGCCCAGCTAATTTTTTGTATTTTTAGTAGAGACGGGGTTTCACCATGGTCTCGATCTCCTGACCTCGTGATCCGCCCACCTCGGCCTCCCAAAGTGCTGGGATTACAGGCGTGAGCCACCGTGCCCGGCTTTTTTTTTTTTTAGACTGAGTTTCACTCTGTCGCCCAGGCTGGAGTACAGTGGTGTGATCTCGGCTCACTGGAACCTCCGCCTCCCAGGTTCAAGTGATTCTCCTGCCTCAGCCTCCTGAGTAGCTGGGATTATAGACATGTACCACCATGCCCAGCTAATTATTGTATATTTAGTAGAGACGGTGTTTCACCACATTGACCAGGCTGATCTCGAACTCCTGATTTCAGGTGATCCACCTGCTTAGGCCTCCCAAAGTGCTGAGTTACATGTGTAAGCCACCAAGCCAGGCTAATTTTGAAAATTTTTTGTTGTATATGTATATGCTTAGGATATACAGGATTTCCTTTTTTTTTTTTTTTTTTTTTGAGACAAGTCTCATTCTGTCTCCTAGGCTGGAGTGCAATGGCACGATCTCGGCTCACTAAAACCTCCGCCTCCTGGGTTCAAGCGATACTCCTGCCCCAGCCTCCCAAGTAGCTGGGATTACAGGCGCATGCTGCCACACCCGGCCACTTTTTTGTGTTTTAGTAGAGAGGGGGTTTCACCATGTTGCCCAGGCTGGTCTCGAACTCCTGAGCTCAGGCAATCCACCCGCCTCGGCCTCCCAAATGATGTTTTGATATACATAGTTAAATGATTACTATGGTCAAGCCAATTAACATATCTATCAACTCACAGTTACTTTTCTTGTGGTAAGAGTACTTAAAATCTATTCTCTTAGAAATTTCCAGTATATAATACAATGTTGTCAACTGTAGTCCTCAGGCTATACATTAGATCTCTAGACTTATTAATCTCACAGTAGTTTCTAAATTTACAATTATCCAACAACTAAGTCATTGAGCATCTTTTCATTGGTCATTTATATATTCTTTTGTGAGGTGTCTGTTCAAGTCATTTGTCCATATTTTATAGTGTTTCCTTTTATGATAAAAGTATATGAGTTCTTCATATATTCTGCATAAAAGTCCTTTGTCAAATAAATGCACTGTGCTATTTTTTCAGTCTGTGGTTTGATGTTTCAATTTGAATGGCGTCTTCAAAGGAGAAGAAGCTTTTAAGTTTGATTAACTCAAAATTCATCAATTATCTTTTTGCAGTTAAGTGCTTTTTGAATCCTAAGAAATCTTTACCTATTCTAAGGTCATAAATATTTTCTTTTATGTTCTTCTTTAGAAGCTTTTAATTTCTAGCTTATATGTTTATTTATATGACCCATGTTAATTTTTTTGTATGTTGTGATATAGGAGTCATAATTCATTTTCATACATATAATAAAATATTATGAAAATGGCTGCTTTTTTACACTTGATCTTAGCCAAAAGGCCGAGAAGCGATAAAAAAAATGGCTGCTTTTTTAAACAAATCATAATGGTACAGTTTTTATACCTATATCTGGTTCCTCCAGTACCATTTGTTGCAAAGAATATCGTTTCCTGTATTGAATTATCTTGGTGTCTTTGTGTAAAATCAATAGATCTTATGTGTTTGGCTCTATTTCTGCACTTTCTATTCAGTTCCACTGATCTCACCAGTTGATGACATTTGGATTGTTTCTACTTTTTGGGTGTTACTAATAATGTTCTTATGAAGAGTCATTGAAGGCATATGATTTAAATTGTCTTGGATATTACCTGACAGTGGAATTATTGGGTTGTATAGTAAATTTTTTTTATAAAAAACCTGCCAAATTGTTTTCCAAAGTGGCTCTGTCAATTTTGACATATTCTTGCCAACACTTAATCAGTATTTCACATCTTTGTCAACATCTTATACCATCAGTTTCTTATTATAGTCATTCTAGTAGACTTGTAAGTATTGTGTTTAATTTCATGTTCTTAATAACCAATGATAAAGAGCATCCTTTCATGCCTTTTTTTTCCATCTGGGCCCCAGCTGATTGGATGATACCCATCTATATTGATAGTGGATCTTCCCTACCCAATGAAAGACTATATTGTCCATGAATTCTTTAAAAATGGTTTTAATTTAACTATTTATATTAGATGTTTTGAATCTCTGTTTGCTAAATTCAACAGCAGTCCCACTTACAGTCAGTTTCCATTAACTGCAGTCTTTTCTCTAAGACTTGATTATACTTTCCTGTTTCTTTGCATGTCTCATTTTAGATACTATATTGACAAGTTTATATTCTTATTTTTTTCTAAGAATTATTTTGTTAACATTATTGGACATAATCTGTGGACTGTGTATCTTCCACCATTTATGGCTTCCATGGTCTCAACCTAGCTCTTAAAAATTCATATTTTAAAATCTTGGATCCCAGAAGTTTCCCTTGTTCTTGCACAGCTTAGTGTTCAGTCAATGATTGGGTGAAGGTTTTGGTCAAATACTTTTGATTTCAAAAGGCTTCCATTCTCTGCTAATGCATCTGCCTTTGTGCTGGGACCATATTCAAATTCAGAGAGCTTTTAAGTTTGTCTTGGATTTTACTTCATGCTGGTTTCTCTCATGTTTCTTCTGTACATACCTGTAGTTTCCCAGTCAGCCAGGAATGTGTAGAGATCTTATCTAATTCTTCTATAGCTATCTAATTCCCAGCATCTTCCCATTACATTTCTGATAGGTTCACTGTTCGCCTCATTAAAACTGTAACCTCTGGATACCTGAGCCTTAAACACGATTGAGTTTGTTACTTTTACTGACATAAACCCTAGGCATGAGTTTTTATCTTTGTTCCAAATCATCTCAACCCTCTTTAATAGTGTAATTGTTGATTTTCATGGCCATTCCTGACTGGCAAAACTACCATCAACTAAGTTGGAGTAGTACTGGAGCACTTTTCACAGGACAGGCACAGTTACCTATGATTCTTACCTAAGCTTCTAGCACTGCTTTATGAAAAAGTGGTTCTCAATTTATTATTTGCCTTGGTTTATTTCCAGACACCTGAAATGATTGTTTTTGACAATTTTTCTGGTTTTATAATTTATTTGTGAGGTGGAGGAAGGAAGGATTTGCTGTCCTCTTTAATTCACCATATCTGGTGAATTTTATTTTTAATGTATATATATTAATTTATATTTATTATTTATTTCATAATTTATATTATAATTTTATTTTTAATCTATAAGTGTATTTATGATTAAGCTGTCTTTATATTTAAAGTGCAAGTTTTTTTCTTGGGGATACCATATGGATCCTGAACTTATAAGAGTCTACTCTGACTTAATACAATACCTTTAACATAGAATATAAAAATCTGATAATAATAAAATTAGTTATAATTCCTCCCATTCTTTGTGCAGCTATTGCCGTGTTTTACTTTACATATGTTACAACCCTTGTAATATATTATCATTATTTTTAGACTTTTAATGAATTTAAGAAAAGGAAGAAGATAACTTTTATATACACTTTTATGTTTCCAATCTTGAAAGTTTTTCGTTCCTTCTCATAGATTTGAAACTCCAAATATTATAATTTCTCTATAGCCTGAAAAACTTCCTTTATCCTTTTTTATTCTTTTAGTGAGTATCTTCTGGCAACAAATTTTCTCAGCTTCTTTTTAATTTCAGATGGCTTTATTTTGCCTTCATTTAAGAAAGATTATTTTCCCCCACTGGGTAATTCTAAGTTGGCAGATTTTTTTTCTCTTCACATTTGAAAGATAATTCATAGCCTTCTGACTCCCTTTGTTTCTGTTGAGATGTTGGCAGTCATTTTTATTGTTATTCCTTATTATGCAATATGTCTCTACCACTTCAGCGGGTTTTCAGATTTTTCTTTTTAAATCTTTGTTTTTCTCAGTTTATGATGTATGTAGATGTGGTATTGATAATGTGGATTGCTATTTTTATCGAATTTGAAAAAATTTTGCCAACATTTTTTGAACAATTTTTTTGTTTGCCCTTTTATCTCTCTTCTCCTTTTTTTCCCCTAATTTTTATTTTAGTTTCAAGGGGCACAGGTGCAGGTTTGTTACACGGGTAAATTGCGTGTCATTGGGGTTTGGTGTACAAATGATTTTGTCACCTAGGTAGTGAGCACAGTAACCAATAGGTAGTTTTTTGACCCTCACCATCCTGCCATTCTTCCAACTCAAGTAGGCCCTGGTGTCTATTGTTACTTTCTTTGTGGTCATGTGTATTCAATGTTTTGCTCCCACTTACAAGTGAGAACATGCAGCATTTGGTTTTCCAATCCTGCTTTAATTTGTTTAGGATAATGGTCTCCATCAGGATCCATGTTGCTGCAAAGGCCATGATTTCATTTTTCATGGGTGTATAGTATTCCATGGTATATAAGTACCATGCATTTTTCTTCTCCAGTCCACTGTTGATAGGTATTTAGGTTGATTCCATGTCTTTGCTATTGTGAACACATACACATACATGACTCTTTATGGTAGAATAATTTATATTCCTTCGTGTATATTTCCAGTAATGAGATTGCTGGGTCAAATGGCAGTTCAGTTTTAAGTTCTTTGAGAAATCTCCAAACCACTTTCAACATACATTCTCAGCAGCATGTATGAGCTAACATACATTCTCAGCAGCAGTGTGTAAGCATTCCTTTTTTCTCCACGATGCTTCCAGCATCTGTTATTTTTTGAGTCATTCTGACTGATATGAGATGGTATCTCACTGTGGTTTTCACTTGCATTTCTCTAATGAATAGTGATATTGGGCATTTTTTTCATGTGCTTCTTGGCTACATGTATGTCTTCTTTTGAGACGTGTCTGTTCATGTCCTTTGCCCATTTAAAAAAAATTTTTTTTCTCTTTAAGTTCCTTATAAGCTCTGGATATTAGACTTTTGTCAGATGCATAGTTTGCAAACATTTTCTCCCATACTGTAGGCTGTTTATTTACTGTCTTGATGGTTTCTTTGGCTGTGCAGAAGCTCTTTAGTTTAATTAAGTTCCACTTGTCTATTTCTGTTTTTGTTTCCATTACTTTTGACAACTTTATCATGAAATCTTCACCCATTTGTATGTACAGAATGGTATTTGCTGGATTTTCTCCCAAGGTTTTTATAGTTTTAGGTTTTACTTTTAAATCTTTAATTTACTTCGAGTTGACTTTTGCATATGGTGAAAGGAAAGGGTCCAGTTTCAATCTTCCTAATACGGCTAGCCAGTTAGCCCAGCACCATTTATTGAATAGTGAGTGCTTATTTTTGTTGACTTTGTTGAAGATAAGATGGTTGTAGGTGTGCGGCATTATTTCTGGGTTCTCTGGTCTGTTCCATTGGTCTATGTATCTGTGTTTGTAACAGTACCATGCTATTTTGGTTACTGTAACCTTGTAGTATAGCTTGAAGTTGGATAATGTGATGTCCTCAGCTTTGTTCTTTTTGCTTAGGATTGCTTTGGCTATTTGTGCTCTTTTTTGGTTACATATGAATTTTAGAATAGTTGTTTCTAGTTCTGTGAAAAATGTCATGGGTAGTTTAATAGGAATAGCATTGAATCTGTAAGTTACTTTGGGTCATATAACCATTTGGATAATACGGATTCTTCCTATTCATGAACATGGAATGTTTTTTCCATTTTTTGTGTGTGTTGTCTCTGATTTCCTTCAGCAGTGTTTTGTAATGCTTGCTTGTTGTAGAGGTCTTTCATCTCTCTGTCTAGCTGCTTTCCTAGGTATTGTGTGTGTGTGTGTGGCTATTGTGAATGTAATTGCACTGTTGATTTGTCTCTCAGCTTGGACATTGTTGCCATATTCTGTGCCATGCCAGATGGAGTACTTAACAGAGCAGTGGATGTTGTAATGAACATATGTCTGCTTTTAAGATTCCAATAAAATATTTTAGGATTATAGCTGTGGACAGCTTTCAGTTTTTCAAGGATGAGGTTGGATTCTATACCCGGGACATAATTAGGCTGAGCATTCTCAGGAAAGTTAAGATCACTACAAGCCTCTCCACTCTACCCAAACACTGAGTTTCTGTTGTGAGGGATGACCCAGCAGGTCTGGGATAGCTGTTGAGAGTTTTGATACTATGGTTGGGCCTAAGAGGGAGGCTGCATGGGAGAAGCCAAACTACCAGCTGGGGCTGTGGGACAGTGGTGGAACCAAGGACAAATGTAGTCCCCTGTTTTAACAATGACCATTGTTGTGTTTTTTTTCCTCTTCTAGGGTCTTTCTACATCCCATATCTTAGTTACTCATAAAACTGTGCTGCCACAGGCCCATTTTTCGGTGAGAAAGCTAGAAAAGTTGGAGGACTTATTCTAAGTCACGCTGTTACCAGCCTAGAGGGGCATCTCAGTGTTTTGAGCAGCTTCTCGTTTTGTGAGCTTTGTGGATGAGTGGTAAGAAAGATGGTCATTTGGGCCGGGCACGGTGACTCAGGCTTGTAATACTAGCACTTTGGGAGGCTGAGGCAGGCAGATCACCTGAGGTCAGGAGTTCAAGACCAGCCTGGCCAACATGGAAAAACCCCATCTCTACTAAAGATACAAAAATTGGCTGGACGTGGTGGTGCATGCCTGTAGTCCCAGCTACTCTGGAGGCTGAGGCAGGAGAATTGCTTAAACCTGGGAGGTGGAGGTTGCATTGAGCCGAGATCATGCCACTGAACTCCAGCCTGGGAGTCAGAGCGAGACTCCATCTCCAAAACAACAAAAAAAAGAGAAAGATTGGTCATTTATGGGTGGGTGGGTGTATTCGAAGGAAATGTTCAGTTGTGAGGATATCAGAAGAAGGAAGAAAAATCATAACTGGGAAAGAAAGATACTTTTTTGTGAGACGTAGCTTGAGTAATTTATTTTTGATATTTGATTTTTTGAAATATTTTTTGAGTACTTAACATATGTAGAGATTAGAAACTTCTGGTAATTAAGAGGGGGCAAGATAGCTAGAGTATCATTTAGTATAGGATTATAGGGAGGTATTTGAAGTTTTCTTCTTCTTTCCTTTTCTTTAAATAGTAAAACTGAACAGAGAGTAGAGAGGTTTTCTGTATACCTCCTGCCCTTCCTCCCTAGGTGGACTCTCCTACTAACAACATCCCATATTAGAGTGGTAATTTGTTATAACTGATAAACTTACACTGACATATCATTATCACCCAACGTCCATTGTTTACTTCAGGACTCACTCTTGGTACTATATATTCTATGTGTTTGGACAAGTGAATCCTAGTACATACAGAATAGTGTGACTGCCCCAAGGTTCTCTGTGCTTTCTATTCATCATTCCTTCTCTGACCCCATACTCCTGCTGTAACCTCTGGAAACCACTGATATTTCTACTTTCTTCATCATTTTGCCTTCACTGAAAGAGTTTTAAGGCATATTGATTAGGAGAAGTTAGAGGTTAAAGTAAAAGAAGGAGAGGTAAGAGGTCACCAGTCATTAAAAATACATTGAAGGCAAGAAAAGTGTTGGGAGAAGGGATCATAAAAAACATGAGTACTTCAAAGGGAAATAGGGATGAGAGCTACTGGGTAATATCAGGAAATTTTTAAAAAGAAGGTGTTTATTGGAATTGGAGATGGAAGTCATGGGAAGCAGGAGTTCTAGGACACCAGAGGTCAAAGTGTCCAGTATGATAAGAAGGAATACAGAAGGCTTGAAAAGGAATAAGAATTCATTAGAGGAGTTGAGTGGCATGCAGAATGGACACAGAAAATTGCCAGAACTGGCCAACTCGAAAATGGGGCTTTTGCCGACAGTTTGGTGCCTACTTAAACAGAATGTATCACTTGGTTGTCAGACATTATTCTATAGTGGCAGGATTCTATGACTTGCCCTTCCTTTCCCAGATTTCATGATTTTCTCAAGTGACCCTTATGGGGCATCCAAATGTGGCAACATAATAATTCATGGACACCAGAATTATCCAAGAGGAACTGGAGAGACAACAGCATTGGAGGGCCATCCAAGACCCCCAGTAGTCCTTTCTGTACTTGGTCTCCATGTGCCATCTTCACTTCCTTAGAAAGGGTCGTGTGGCTGGGTGTGGTGGCTCACGCCTGTAATCCCAGCACTTTGGGAGGCCGAGGTGGGCAGATCATGAGGTCAAGAGATCGAGACCATCCTGGCCAACTTGGTGAAACCCCATCTTTACTAAAAATACAAAAATTAGCTGGGTGTGGTGGCGCACACCTGTAGTTCCAACTACTTGGGAGGCTGAGGCAGGAGAATCGCTTGAACCCAGGAGGCGGAGGTTGCAGTGAGCCGAGATCACACCACTGTACTCCAGCCTGGGCGACAGAGCTAGACTCCTTCTCAAAAAAAAAAAAAAAAAAAAAAAAGAAAGGGTCATGTTGATCACTTTTGGATCTTTTTTGATGACCAGTAGAGTGCTATAGACTGGCTAAAAGAAAGAACTGAAGGAACTGTGACTCATTTACTTTCTATAGAACACCAGAGAGAAAGCCAAGGAATGCAAAGAATGCATATCCAGTGTCAAGGAGGAATGGGGAATGAGCTGAGTTCCTAAGGAGGCCCAGCCAGGCCATCCCAGAAACAGGAAGAATTAAAAGCCTCATCATCTAGCAGAAATCCTACAGTATTTATTTCACTAATTTGTTTTAGGTCCTCTCTTTGGATAATACAGAAGAATAACTCTACAATGGCCTCATTTATACTGCCAGAGGGCCCATAATGGTGATTCTCCAAAGAGTATATGGCCTGCATTCTCATTCACAATTGGGACGCACCCCTGTACTTATCTCTAGTCCTCCTTCAGTTCATTTCCAGACCCATGCTAGTGCAAGACTTAAAAGTGCTCCAGCCAGAAGAGTCTTCTACCACTCGTTCAAATTCATTCAACAAATAAATATTATCAAGTATAAAATTCCAAATTGGCATCAATAATATAAAACTGTCAATGCAAACCCCATTTTTCAAATTGACTATTTTTAGGAGCTGAATAAAGATCAAAATGATAAGCCCAATGTGTATAGGTATCTGTGGTCCATTGCAAAAATGAACTATTTCCCAATGGCTGCTTTAGAAAGTTTCTATTTGAAAGGCAGTAAATAAGAGGCATCATGATTGCCTAGGGCAGTATTTTTACCCTTGGAGTCAAGGATGGTCAGGGTTTCTATGTTTATCATTTGTATTCTTTTATGCAAATGGGGAATTAGGTCTAGATACCAAGAACTAGACCAGGATCTTATTGGGGTCGGAAATTAGGAGTAAAGCCAGTCCACAGGAATATCATGAACTGAAAAACAAAGAGGCAGAAAACATTGTTCTGGATGATAAGTTCCAGTTATTAGGTAAAATATTCTCGTGAAAAGTTGAGTAATTTATTTAGGTCCATCAGGGTGCCTATGGTCGACAGAGTCCTCAACTGTGTTATTTCCGCTGCTTGGGTTCTAAACCACCTTTTGACCTATTATTTGGCTTTCTGAAGAGGGTGATTGCAAAATGGATCTTATTATGCAGACCAGGTGTGCTGCTTATTCAGAACTCAGCAGTTACTTTGGCTCTAAATCAGCCTCCTGAGAAGTCAGTATTGGTAAGTCAGTCATTTCATTAGGGCTTGGTCACTGACTGGTATATTATCAACCATGTTTTTTTCAGGCATGCTGAGGTTGAAGCAAATGGGAGAGAGATGACTTTTAACTTCTGTGCTTCCACCTCCTCATTCTCTCAAGTGGCCGAATGTCTAACCTCAGTCAATCGTTGTGCCTTGAGGCTTGTTTCTCTAACTATATCCATACATATGTGGTGAATAAATATATCTATCATTCTTGGGTGCAAGTGCCCTGACTCCTGCTGCTTCTCTGCAGTGCCTCTAATTGGTTAAGAAGGTTGTGGCTTGGCTTTCCAGGCCCCTGGCAGGTGACATTGTCAGTCCTGGCTGCCAGGAGAGGAAACATCCAGAAAATGCTATTGCACAAACCAGGTGGTGGTTATGGTAGATGAGACAGATTAATAATATTGCCTCTTCTTGCAGGAAATGGGATTGGGTGATGAGGAGGGAGATAGGCAAGGGAAGCTCAGGGAAGGGAGGAAGTGGGTCTGGGCTGCAGTGAGAATGAAGGAGAATGAAGAGGATCCACTGAAAAGCTGAGCAGAGGAGAAATACAAAGGAAGTTGACCAGATTGCCAGCACTATGTAGAATAAGGCACACTGTGGGAACTTGATAATTATTCGCAGACTTGAAAGAAGTGTAAAGGGTTAGCCAAAAGAAAAAAAAAGTTGAATAGATGATGGGTGGCATCTTTGAAGCTTGAAGTTTGCACTGAGATCCCACTTTCTGTTTTTCTCAACTCTCAGAGGATCAACCCTGGAATCTTTTGTGTAGCAAGCCTGGTCAGCTCCTAATCCTTCTCCTTATGTCCCTGGGAGACCCAGAGCCCCTGTTTCTTGGTGGCCCTGATGTACCTGAGTTCTCTTCTTTCTTCTACAATATTTCCTCTTCCAACTCTTTCCTAGTCTTCCCTGACTGGAAAGAGTTAAGGCCAGTGAGGGCACACAACCTAGAGAGGCAGAGAGGCTGGCAATGGACAAGCACACGCTCCCATTTCCAGGACTGAGCCACAGCCTTTGTTCAGTGTCTCTTCCTGAGTCCTACATCCCTTTCCTGGCCCCTGTGTAAGATCCCCACGTGCTAGGCTCTCCAAGCCCTCCCTAGGGCACTGATTTGTGAATCCCAGAGAGCTCAGTGGGGAGCAGAAACGCAGGGGGACCATGCTGCCACAGGAGGAGCTGATGCAGGGAAGCAGTGAGCATAGACTGTGGGAGTGAGCTCTGGTTGGGAGGTTTCTCCAAGCCCTGTGAAGAGATTGGCCTGGGATGCACAGAGATGGCTTTCCTTGTGAGCCGGTGAGTCTTCCTCTGAGGTCTTTTTTGTTCTTTCTCTTTTCTCTGCTCAGTTCTTCAGCCTGCCTCTGTTTCTTCTTTCTCTCCTTCTCCCTTCCCTTCCATCTGACTTCTACCCTCCCTCCCTGATGCCACAGTCACTTCTTACTTCAGTTCTGCAAAGCTAAAGAATGAGGATACTGGCTGGGCACAGTGGCTCACGCCTGTAATCCCAGCTCTTTGGGAGGCCAAGGCAGGTGGATCATGAGGTCAGAAGTTCGAGACCAGCCTGGCCAACATGGTGAAACCCCGTCTCTACTAAAAATACATAAATTAGCTGGGCATGGTGGTAGGCTCCTGTAATCCCAGCTACTCAGGAGGCTGAGGCAGGAGAATCGCTTGAAACCAGAAGGCAGAGGTTGCAGTGAGCCAAGATCGTGCCACTGCACTCTAGCCTGGGCAACAAGAGTAAAATCCTGTCAAAAAAAAAGAAAGAAAGAATGAGGATACTTCTGGTAGCAGATACCATCAGGAGCTGGGGTGCACTATAGTGAGTGGGTCCCATGGGATTAGGGAAGTTGAGGAAGGGAGTGTCAGGGAGAAAGGTTGGTAGGAGGAAATATTAGGGACAGAGCAGTGGGATTTCAAGAAGCAGGTCAAGTTTTGCTCAGGGGCAATGGCAGGTGTGAGTAAGGGAGATGTGAGGTTCAGGAAGGTAGAATACAGTGGGGGAAGACTCAATATGGGGATCACTGATGGACTCTCCCTAGCTTTTGAGTGGTGTTTGTCTTGAAAACCAATGACTGTGCTTATATTGCCCAGGATTAATGTAGTTCAAGGTCCCTTGGTAGCTATCTATGGTGGAGAAAGAGCATTTGCTGCAATCTTCCTTCTGGTTCTTTGTGAGAGTATCAGCTATAAGAAGCATATAGTCCTTGGGACAAATAAGCACAGAATAGTGGATCTGGAACTCAATCCAGAGCTCATTTGATTTAGCCTTTATGTTTATTGATGATGAAATTGAAAACCAAAAAGATGATGCAAAGAGTTTGCTCTAGGTCCTGTAAAGTTTTAGTAACGGAGTAGAGATCACAACCCATGTCTTCAATCTTTACCAAGGTGTATTAGTCTGTTTTCACACTGCTGATAAAGACTTACCCAAGGCTGGGCAATTTACAAAACAAAGAGGTTTATTGGACTTACAGTTCCACATGACTGGGGAGGCCTCACAATCATGGTGGAAGGCAAGGAGGAGCAAATCACATCTTACATGGATAGTAGCAGGAAAAATGAGAGCTTGTGTAGGGCAGCTCCCATTTCTAAAACCATCAGATCATGTGAGACCCATTCACTATCACAAGAACAGCACAGGAAACATCCACCCCCATAATTCAATCATCTCTCACCAGGTCCCTCCCACAACACATGGGAATTATGGGAGCTACAAGATGAGATTTGGGTGGGGACATAGAGCCAAACCATATAACCAGGGATTTTCCATTCAATACTTTCCCCTGTCTATTTTTTTTTTTTTAATTACTGATTGGTGGCTCTAAGTCTTGCTCCAGAAAGACTAATGTGCTGGGTTACATAAATGTACAGAAAATAAGGATGAGAGAGACTGGACAAAGAAAAAGGTAGAATAGAACAACAACAACAACAGCAAGTGAGACCAGAAACTAGATATCTCAAAAATATATCGTGAGGAATTGCACATTTCCTGGAGATGAGTTACAAATTCAGGTGGAAACTTGCTAGCTGTCATGTTAAGAGGAAAAGTGATTACTTAATTTCTTAAAAAATTAAACATACACTTCCCATGTGATGCAGCCATTTCACATCTATGTATTTACCCCAGAGAAATGAAAGCATACAAAGACTTTGTACACAAATGTTCATAGAACCTTCATTCTATGAACCAAAAACTGGAAACAACCTGAACTTCCTTTAGCAGGTGAATAAATAAAAAATTGTGAAAACAACCCAAATTTCCTTCAGCAGGTGAATGGATGAACAAATTATGTCATATCTATACAATGGAGTATCACTCAGAAATGAAAAGGAATGGCTGCTGTACACACCACAACATGGCCAAATCTCCAAATATAAGTCAGACTAAAAAGAGTACATATTTTATAATTTCATTTATATAAAACTCTGAAAAAAGAAAAATATAGTGCTGGGAAGCAGATCAGAGGTTGCTTGGGAATGAGGAGTGCAGGGAGGGGTGAAAGAGAGAGATTACAATGGAGTGTGAGGGAGCACGGGGGCTGGATATGTTCATTTCGTGATTGCGCCTATAATGTCATGGTGCATACATGGGTCAAAACTTATCAAATTGCACACTTAAACATGTACAATTTGTCATATGCCAATTGTACTTCCATAAAACTGTGAGGAAATGTTATTGCTTATATGACAGGAAAAATACAGTGATTCCTATCACTGAGATATGAGAAAAATGATCCCTCTGAGAGTTTCATAATGTTGCTTCTTGTAATCTTTCTCAATGTAAACCAATGGCTTAATGCCAAAACACTCTTTAGCAAGACCAGTTCTAGGAAAGATGAGTTGATGGAGATATGTAGGAAGTGGAAATATTTCAGCATTTTAAATGTGTAGCTCTGTGCTCATCTGCTTTAGCTTGGGGATAAGATTTAGATTTTAAATTATCAGAGGAAAAGCTGTTTTGACAATCCTTTAGGCAACCCTTCTTAAATGCTGTTCCTCGCTATTGCAGTTTTGTTCAATTGAAGAGCAGTAGTTGTGAGGTTTTCCACATTGATAAAATGAGTTTGAGGAAGGCCACACAACCCCTTTTGGGGGGTGGGGACAGGGAGTAACACCTTTGTCTTTTCGCTTTACATTTTGAGTGTTTTCTTACTTTGCAAACTGTTCTCTGATAGTTTCATGAGAATCAGTGCTTTCTTAACAGGACAGCAAGTGCTCTCTGGACAGAATCACCACCCTGTATGTACTTGATATTCTCCACAGTGCCAAAGAGCAATAGGCACATAGAAAGTTTGCAATAAATACTGTTGCATTTGAATAAAGTGTTGGAATGATATAAAGTATGTAGATTGCACTTTTAATTATTAATAAATACTTGCCTCTTGGAGATGGCTGTTTTTGATTCACCCTCTCAGCTTATTCCACTTATTTGTTCTGCAGTTCACTGACTCTCCTGCATATCATAGCCCTTATATTTGCTCTTCCGTGTCTTGGTAGTTTTTGGCTCATATCTGTGCTGGGTAGCAGTTTCTGTTAACAGTGATGTATAGAGCCTCTTCTTCCACCTTCCTCTGGGTCTCTTGTGGGTTCCAATGCCACTGATATTTCAAGAATACCCTTCTCTTCCCAGCAAAGTCACCCCATGTGAGCCAAACATTAGCCTTTGCGCTGACCTGTCTGACTTGCTAACAAAAACATCTATCAAGATACTATTTTGTGCCAGATATTAAGCTTGATTGTTTGCAAGTCTACAAATCCTCACAAAAACCCAATGAATTAGACTCTGTTGTTACCGCAACTTTATAGATAAGAAAATTAAGGCTCACATAAAAACAAAACAGAACAAAACAAAAAACAAACAGATTATGTCCTTTGCAGCAACATGGATGGAACTGGAGGTCATTATTCTAAGCAAACTAACACAGGAACAGAAAACCAAATACCATATATTCTCACTTAAAAGTGGGACCTAACACTGAGTACACATGAACACAAAGAAAGGAACAACAGATACCAGGACATAATTGAGGGTGGAGGATAGAAGAAGGGTGAGGATCAATAAACTGCTTATCAGGTACTATGCTTATTACCTGGGTGACTAAATAATCACTGTGAGGTGAAATTTACCTATATAACAAACCTGCACATGTACCCTTGAATCTAAAATAAAATTTAAAAAAATTAAGGCTCAGAGAGATTATATCATTCACCTGTGATCACTTAGCTAACTAGCTGGAAAAAATAAGACTTGACTTTAAGTCTGTCTGACATCAGAATCTGTTCTCTTAACCTCTGCGGCATATGAATTTCCATAAGAACTTACCTTCATTGAAACTTTTGTGGCCACTCCTTACTTCTTGAGGAATCTGTCTTTAGCTGGTAGTAGATTTAATTAGGTATAATTATGTTTGCTAAGGTACTAACCAGTAGTACCACCCAAGAAACAAATGCCTTACCTAGGACGTACAAATGTCAAATGACTTTAAGGATCATTGTTGTGGCTGAAAATTTTATTACCTTGCTAGTCTGATAAGGATAATATTTTGTAACTTTATCCCTGGTTGTCAACTTGCTCTGCTTCTGAAATTGATCCTCCATCCTGGGTTTCTTGTTTCTTGCAACAGAAAGCGGAATAGAATATGTATGTGTTGTGAGGGTCTGAGGAGCGCATTTGACTACGGTAGCTTTTCAAAGATAAGTTTGTCTTTCTGACAGGCTGGCCCTCCCCTAATGTGAAGAAAGACCTTAAGGGAGACTCTTTGATCCTTAGGTATTTGGGACTGACTCAGAGCACTGCACAGAAGTCACTATCGCCCCCTTTTCAAATCTCCATAGGCACCGTTTTCTGGATGGTTCTCTTTAGGGCAGCTTTGACCTCTGTGTTCCGCAGGCTGTAGATGATGGGGTTGAGGATGGGGGTGACCACAGCATAGAAGAGGGACACCAGAGGGTCAGTGGCCGGATCGTAGCTGGCCTTAGGGCGAATATAGATAAAGAGTGCGGTGCCATAGAAGAGGGAGACCATGATCAGGTGGGAGGAGCAGGTGGAGAAGGCCTTGCGGCGGCCCGCAACAGATGGGATCCGGAAGATGGTAACGAGGATACGCCCGTAGGAGCCCAGGATGAGGCCAAAGGGGCAGAGGATGAGGAGGGCTGTTGCCAGGATAATCTGCAGTTCATTAAGCGAGGTGTCTCCACATACCAGCTGCAGGACAGGCTGGATCTCACAGAAGAACTGCGGGATGGTATTGGGGCCGCAGAAGGGCAAAGAGAAGATGAAAGGGGTGTGGCCCAGCCCCACCAGCACCCCACAGGCCCACGCCGACCCAGCTAGCTGTAGACACACCCGGTGGCTCAGCAGCAGTGGGTAGCGGAGGGGTTCACAGATGGCTGCATAGCGGTCATAGGCCATGGCTGCCAGGAGGCAGCACTCCGTGGCGCCAAAGAAGAGGAAGAAGAACATCTGGAGAGCACATCCAGAGCGAGAGATGTGGCGCCGGCCAGTAAGGAGGTGGTGAAGTAGCAGGGGGACCGTGACAGACGTATAGCCAATCTCCAAGGCCGAGAGGGTGCGCAGGAAGAAGTACATAGGGGACTGGAGGGCAGCATCAGTGGAGACCAGCACCACAATGAGGAAATTGCCTGCCACGGTCAGCAGGTAGATAGTGAGAAAGACAGAGAAGAGCAAGCCCTGGAGGTCGGCCAGGTGGGAGAAGCCGAGAAGAAGAAACTCAGTCACCATGGAGGTGTTTGCACTCATCCTGCCTGCATACCTTTGACTGGAAGACAAAAGAAATGGCAAGGAAAAATCACAACTATGGAATCGTGAAATGGGCAAAGATGACCTCTCTCTGCATCTGATCGCAGCACTAGATCTCCCTTTCTATTAGAATATCATGGACTTTGAAATTAGGCAGCCTTGCCTGGAGTCCATATTCCACCCTTGCTCACTCTTGGGATCCTGGATGAGTATTTGTCTCTCTGAGCCTGAATCCCTGACTTCATCTCTTCCTGATAGTGCCTATCATTCTAAAGAACATGTTAAACTGTCTTTCCAGTTTTACCTGGGCTGAAGATTAAGTCAGTCTAGCTCCCTTTTCACTCTTTTCTGATTTTCCAATTCTTCCTGCAGGGCTGGAGACAGAATTTTCCCTCATAGCAGATCTTTTTCTCCATCAACTTGTCTCCTGTCTGATAAGAGGTGACCTCTCTTATCACCTCTTGCCCTCTAGTTTTCTTTTTTCCAGCTCTTTCTTTAGTTACCAGATTCACTTAGTCTTTCTTCTTTTTCTGTCATTTTACCATAAATTTCACAGTGTTCAAGGAGGAGAAAAAAAATGAGAAAGATCCTCTCTTTTTAAGCTCCTATAGCATTAAACAGTTCAACTATTTAGAGGGGTGAGCATTTCTCTAGTTTTAAAACATGCTCAGGCAAAAGATGACAAGAACTTCCTTAATTGCTTATTTCTGCATCTTACAGACTTTCAAACTTAGTCCTCTTACATTGTAAACATGAAAATCCCCAAACTACACACATAAACTCCACAAATTCACACACTGTCAAATTATATTTCAAAATACAGGCACAGAAGAATAGCCTAATATTCCCAGATGCCAGATTTATCTAAAGTTGCAAATCATGTATTCTATTGGCATTATTACAGATAACAGTAAAAGTCTAAATACACTGAACATAAAACTATAAACACCCAAAGATACACTTGAATATATACACAAATTCAATATTCCAGCCATATTCAAGGTTGTGTATTAGAAATACAAGTCCACACACTGATATCCTTTTGCAGTTGAAGAGCCCTTGGTTCATTCTCCTCTGGGGGCTCTTTCAGTGTTTTCCAGAAGATATTATCTCAAAGGTGTCTTTCTATTTTCTATTTGGAGAAATAACCAGTGAAGGCAGATGGCATTTGTGACTTGCTTATCTTCTTTTTTATCTACATAGTGGATCCCTCTTGAGGAAGCCTCTCTTAGGTTTGTTGTCTCTCTTTAAGCTCTCTGAGGATCTGAGTCTCCAAGCATTCTTGGCTTTCCAATGGGGAGAATGCTTCACAAAACCAATTAATCTGTTATTTTGAATCTGTTTCTTAGATTGCAAGAAATACAGAATGACCTGTTAAGAACATTTCAAAGAATATATCCAGAGCTATTGGTTTCTCTTAGTTCTCCCATATCTCTGGTTCAACCATTTTAATTTTCTTCTTTTTTCTCATGATTTTTTCCCATCACTGTAGATGTTCTAGTACATCTACAAAAAGTAATAATGCAATTTTACCCTTCTTATGTATATTGATATAATCCAGTAATCAATTTATTTGATAACTATTTATAGGGTCCCTTGCAGGTTTTATTGATTCTACAGGTAACTAATAATATAAAAGAGAAATAAACATGTTTTGACCTAATTGAGGTGCTAAATGTCATTTTCTTATACAATTGTCACTAATTTTTCTTGCTTTGATTTCTTTTTCATTTATTATACAAATCTTTCTTTGCATTTTTATCATTGGTATCTATTATTTGATTTGTTTCTTCTGTGTTTTTATACATTTTCATAGATGTGATAAAAGCTGTGTGTCAAATAGAATGTTTTCAAGACATACCAACCATTATAACAAGCCCCAACTCCAACGGGTTTAAGTAATAAATTTACTTATTAATTTATATAACTAGAAGTTCAGGGTTTACATAAACTGGATTTCGTACTTAGTTTTCTTCTGACTCCTTTATATTTTATCATTTCATTTATTTATTAGATTTGGCTGAAAGTAATGGAAATGCCAATGGCTCAAAGAGAATGAAAATTTATCTCTCACTTAAATGTCTAAAGATTTGTAGTTCAGGGAAATATGGCTGCTCTGATCCAGAATTCCTCAGGAATCTGTTTTCTCTCAGCTCATCAGTCATCTACTCCCAGAGTGTAGCCCTGTTATGGCTGAAGATGATGCCATTAATGTTACAGGGAACAGAATGGAGTAGAATAATTTGGATTGCTATTTGTCCACTCTTAGTGTAACCTATGTAGTATTATTGCTAAAAATGTTTAATTGGAGTATAAGAAAACAGTCAGACAAATCCATATTGTGGCATATTCTATAGACAACTGACACAAACTCTTAAAAAATATCCATGTCTTTAAAGACAAAGCAAAGATGGGAGATGACATCGTTCCAGATTGAAGAAGACCAAAAGCCATGGCAATAAAATGTCATTCATGATTTTTGACTGGATCCTACGTCATCAACAAAACAAAATAAAAACAACTATAAAAAAGATTTGGAACAAGTGGGAAAGTTGAATATGGGTTTTATATTATTGGTTCAATGTTAATTCCCTTGGGTGTAATAATAGTATTGTGGTTATGCTGGAGAATATTCTTGTCATTAGAAAGATGCAGAATGGCTGCATAGTATTCCATGGTGTGTATGTGCCACATTTTCTTAATCCAGTCTATCATTGTTGGACATTTGTGTTGGTTCCAAGTCTTTGCTATTGTGAATAGTGCCACAATAAACATACATGTGCATGTGTCTTTATAGCAGCATGATTTATAATCCTTTGGGTATATACCCAGTAATGGGATTGCTGGGTCAAATGGTATTTCTAGTTCTAGATCCCTGAGGAATCGCCACACTGACTTCCACAATGGTTGAACTAGTTTACAGTCCCACCAACAGCGTAAAAGTGTTCCTATTTCTCCACATCCTCTCCAGCACCTGTCGTTTCCTGACTTTTTAATGATCGGCATTCTAGCTGGTGTGAGATGGTATCTCATTGTGCTGGCGCTTTTCGAAAGCAGCCGCTGCGGCCGCCCAACGCCAAGAACGCTTCGCGAGCAGCGCCATCTTGAGCGAGGAAAGAGGAACCGAGAGAAGAGGATTGCGGGCCACTGGCCGACTGAATTCCGTATTTTATCTTTTCTTATTGCATTTTCAGAACTGAAGATACAGCTGACAGAGCACTGAACTAGGCCAGGGTTTTAATGCTGGCTCTATGACTAACCTATTCTATAACTTTGTACAATTCACTTCATTTTAATGAGACTCATATTTCTCATCTTTAAAATGCAGACACAGCTGATTCTTATTATTCACTGCAGTTGCATTCTATAAAGTTGCCTTGAACCCTGTAGGAGCAAATATTAAATAATTCCTTGCTTTAGGGGAGATGCAGGGTTAGATTCCTATGAGTTTTTGGTCACATTTTTGTCACCTGATCAATAAATAACCTTATTGTAAGTGTGTTTCTGTTTAAACACATCTTATATAATATATATCGTTGATCATTAACGTTGAACCCACAGCCAACAGCCCTATAACACATGCCTGAACAGAGCTTATCTAGCAAATGCATTTTCTCCGTAAGATCCATTGCAACATTTTTGTGCTCAGGAGCATGGGACAGCACTTCAGCGCTACATTTGGGGCTATTTTGAATTATGAAATCACCAAAAAACAAACAAAAAATGTGAAAAATATGGCATTCAGCAAATCAGGAAATCATGAAAAGGACACTTGTTTACAGTATAATAGCTGAAACAAGAGGACAGAGCGTTTCCTTGCTCAGCATCAGGTGGGGATGCATACAGTGTGTCTCAAACTTTTTGTCACTGTGTTCATGCACTTGTCCATGAACGACTGCGAAGGTGCTGTGAGTATTGAGCTAGGGGTTAAAAATAGATGTTAGGGAGCAGGTGACTTTGCAAATACTGAATCCACAAATAATGAAGGTCAACTCTATTGCTAGTCATGTCTACTGGTGGAATGTTTGGAACTTTCTTTTCAACCGGACATTGTGTTAATATATTTTTAGAAGGCCAGGGATTATGAATCAAGTGACCATTTTTATTTTTTCATTCATGCATTCATGCATTGCTACTTATTCACTAATCATTTATGACACAGCTAAAATATTCTTGGGATACAAAGATGAATAGGATACACCATCTGCCCTGGATAATATTTACTTCTAATTCGTAGTCTAGTGAAGAAGAAATCTAAATGGTAAGACTATGTAAATCTCTAACAGAAACCACAAAGAGCTATAATTTGTTTTTGTAAAATCCTGCTGGGTTGAATACTATCTCTTTTGTATTAAAATATATTGTTAATCCTCAAGAAGTTTTCAAAGATAAGAGATTGAACAATATTTTGGGTTAGGTCCATGATGTACTGTTATTAAAGTTTCTATGGATTCAGATTGCCTTGGATGCCTAGGCTGGAGTCTAAGGAACAAATAATCAGAAAACATCACTGAGCTCGAGCTTATGAAATATTTTAGTAACATGGGAGACTCATGGAAATGTGTGGTTTCTTTTCCAACTGGAATTACTGATACAAAATAGGATATATATGTGACCAAAGCCAAACAACATAAATGGTTGTCAAACTTGAGCTTGAAGTTAGCCCCCGTGAAGCATCCCATAGTCACTTCTGAGAGTTTGCAAGATGTGTTCAGGAATGTCTCCTCTGGTCCTTCCTCTCTTGTGTCTTTTCTGTGCCTTCAAGCTGCTGCTCTGTGAGAGCTGACTGACTCTTTTTATTTTGTCATCCTTTGCAGTGGTTGACATTGCTTTCTCCACCCTGGCTGTGGGAACAGCAACCACTGTCCCCTGTACCTGCTTTTTCTAAGCAAGGCCACAGGCCCTCTTAGAATTCTCCTAGTACAACATATATCAAGTTGTAGCTTATAGAATAATTTACTGTAGTTCTAACTTAGTGGAAAGTAAATGTAGTGCAGAGAATTATATGCTGTTATACTGATCCACACACACTTGAATTCCACTAGGTAATTTATGTGGCCAAGGGTATATTTCATTTCATTTGGAACTACTTATAATCTTTTCACGTCTTGCAGTTTAGGCCAAATTGACCCCAGGACACAAGGGAAGGTAGAAATGTATTTTTCATGCTAATATATCACCTACTTTTGGAGACTTCATTTATACCCCAGGATTAACCTCTCACCAGGGTGATTAACAATACAAACATCTACTCCCCACAGATCCTTGTCTTTATCCATGGGACTGTGGTCTGAACTGATGACCTTAAAAAGTCCATAAAATGTATTTTGACAAAAAGTTTGCTAAAATATCTGTAAGAATTAAGATTAGTCAGACTTTCCCATCTTAAACTTGAATTATCTCTGAAGTTGTGTTTCTCTATCAAACCAAATTTAACAGTATACTAAAAGGATCTTTCACCATGATCAAGTGAGATTTAGCTCTGAGATGCAAGGATGGTTCAACACACAAATCAATAAATGTGATACATAACATTAACAGAATTAAAGATAAAACCATATGATCATATAAACAGAACATGAAACGGTGAAAGAAAAGTCTTTTTAATAAATGATGTTGGAAAACTGAATATCCACATGCAGAAGAATGAAATTGGATCCTTATGACACTCAATATATGAGAATTAACTCAAAATGGATTAATGACTTAAACATATGACTGCAAACTGTAAAACTATTAGAAGAAAATATAGGAGAAAAGTTCCATGACGTTGGTATGGGCAAGATTTCTTGTATATGATCCTCAAATCACAGACAGCAAAACCAAAAGTAAACAAATGGGATTGCATCAAATTAAAACATTTCTCCGCAGCAAAGGAAACAATAGAGTGAAAAGACAACCCACAGGTTGAGAGAAAATATTTGTAAATGATACATGTAAGTGGCTAAAATTCAAGCTATATAAGGAACTTAAACAAATCAATAACAAGGAAACAAATAACTCAATTTTAAAATGAGCTAAGCACCTGAATAGACATTTCTCAAAAGAAGACGTACAAATGACAAACAGGTACAAGAAAAAATGCTCAACATCACTAGTCATCAGGGAAATACAAATTAAATTCACAATAAGATATCACCTCACACTTGTTAGAATGCCTACTACAGAAAAGATAAGAGATAAATGTTGATGAAAATGTGGAAAAGGAGAACTCATACACTTTTGGTGGAAGCGTAAATTAGTACAGTCATTAAATACACTGTGGAGGTTTCTGAAAAATTCTGAAAAAATTAAAAATAGAACCGTTGTATGACCCAGCAATCCCTTGTCTGTGTATATATTCAAAGGAAATAAGAAGAGAGATCTACACTTTCATGTTCATTGTAGTATTATTCACAATAGCCAAGATGTGGAATAAACCTAAGCATCCCTCAGCAGATGAATGGATAGAGAAAATGTGGTATATATGCATAGTGGAATACTATTCAGCCTTAAAGAAGAAGGAAATTCTGTTGTTTGCAACAACATGGATGAATCTGGAGGACCTTATATTAACTGAAATAAGTCAGGCACAGAAGGACAAATACCTCATGGTCTCCCTTCTACATGAAATCTACAAAGTCAAACTCACAGAAACAGAGAATAGAATGGTGGTTACCAGGGGCTGGAAGAAAGGGAGAAAATTGAGAAGATATTGGTCAAAGGTTACAAAAATTACAGTTAGACAAGAGAGATAATTCAAGAGATCTATTATATGAAAGGGTGACTATAATTAATGAATTGTATATGTGAAAATTGCTAAAAGAGTAGATCTGAGTGTTCTCATCACAAAAACATGATAAGTATGTGAGGTAATGGTTCATGTAAATTAGCTTGATTTTGTCATTCCATGATGTATACATATGTCAAAACATCATGTTATACATCATAAATATATACAATTTTAATTTGTCAATTAAAAATCATAATAATGTAGGCTAACTAAAAAATGCTACATTTTTCCAAAAGTTTTCTTTTCAAGACACATATACTTACCTTTTAGCATATGCTGCTGTTTGATGAAAAAAATAAACGATTAAGAGAACCCCTCCTGCTGCCAAGAAAAAATAGGGTGGCATTTACTGTGAACTACAGATAGTAGACAACGTAGTTCAGAGAAAAAGTGTTCTCGGTTGGTCAGGGAGAAAGTGGAGCTGAAGTTAGGGTCTGAGTTTGATAAATGACACAGAAGTGCCTTCAACACACTCCTAGGGATGAGAAATAAATATATCAGCCTGATTTCTGTGGAAGCTTCAAAAAAGGGAGTAGTGGCAGACAAAGTTGTTGGGCAGTAATTTGGTCAGGAAGGATATTGAAACGCTACATAACCATTTCAACGTCATTTTGTAACATCACGCCACCTTCCTTCTCCTTAAATCAGGCTCAGCATTGGCAAGATTTTGATGATCTATATAAAACACCCCTACTAAGGGTGGTACCTATTGAAACAATTGCCTGGGATGGTAAGAGGGCGATTTGGAGGCTGTAGATTGGAGAATGAAAGTTGAGGGCAGGCTCCTGGGAGGACCACTGTTGGTAATGGGGAATTTAGGGATGTTGCAGAGAAATCAGAATTTTCTGGTGAGTTATGGAGACTAGGAATTGGGGCTTTAGATGTTTGGTGAAATGGAGAGCATTTGTCCCCAAGGGGATGGAAAGGTGGGCTCCATTTGGCTCTTTTGGTTTCTGCTCCGTTTATGGTCAAGCCAACAGTTCAGGAAACCGCCTTTGAAAAAATACAATTTCCTTAGGGGCCTGCTATGTCTTGCTCATTTCAGGCTGCTCTCCAGTAAATCTGTAATTGGTTCTCAGGGGCCTCTCCCTTTGTGGCAATTTCCTGCCCTCCCATGTGATAGAGGGAAAGGACTGCGATGAAAGGACAGAATAGCCTGAGAGCTAGAAAAGGGGATGGAGGGTGGAAGAGAAAATGGCTCAGGAGTGGAGGGTAACAAGGGTGACATTTGTAATCAATGTTCTACGTTACTTCAGGTTGAGCTCAAGCAGGGAGGGAGCTGAAGGTAGGAAATTCCAACATTCTGAAGTCTTCAGCAAATCTTAGCAGATCATCTCCTCCTCACAGTCCTGTCTTTAGAGAACAGGGTCGATATTTCGGGTACGTTTATTTTTGTAAAATTCTTTACAGCTTAGTTCACAGATTCTTTAAAAAAGTTAAATGGCTGGTTTTTATAGCTGTTTATCCTGTAATCACTAGCAACTTTCAATTAACCCAGAGAGTCAAAAAGTCTTTTATTAAAAATCATTTCAAGAAGTCCCGCAGTATTTCTCTAGAATACCAGTGCTGCTCTTTTCTCCATTGGATGTTTTTAAAAGTTGATTTCTAATCCTTCTGGGTGCATACTGACTTATTTTTTTAATTCTCTCTTCTCTTTTGGAGATGGGGAACAGTAGATATTCATGCTCCCCAAGCTTCAGTTGATATGTTACAGAGTAGGAAGAAGCGAGACACCCTCATACTAATGTTTTCATGGTGGAAAGTTTTCCTCCTGCTATCCCATGGCTTGACAAAACTGGGATATACTTAAAATTATACTGTTTTCTTTTAAAACCTTTTAAGTATATTTTAATGTTTTATTATGGAGTAATTACTGAAGAGACTTGAGGAGAATTAACAGATTAAAAAAATCAAACTGAATTAACTTTTTGGTTTTCTGCTTACAAACATAAC
This sequence comes from Homo sapiens, assembly GCF_000001405.40. Taxonomy (NCBI): domain Eukaryota; kingdom Metazoa; phylum Chordata; class Mammalia; order Primates; family Hominidae; genus Homo; species Homo sapiens. The sequence goes on along the minus strand of NT_167245.2, from coordinate 696,812 downwards.
ATGTTTGTTTAGCAGACATTTCAAAATATGAGAATAAATTTTTTTCTAATACCTAAAGATGAATTAAAATGTACAGTTTTGTATATATTTTTTAAAATATTTTTTCCTGGAATATTCTTTGAATTGTTAGTTTTAATTAAGGACTCTATGCTATCTCAGAGTCTGGGTTGAATGAGGGTTATGGTTTTTACTTAGAATTGAGTGTGTGACTGATTGTTCGTTAGACAACAAACAGGCATTTTGCACTATTCTCACTTCTCTACCAGTCAGTATGGTGAAATTCCTGTTGATTTCAAACTCTTCCTGCAGTTTTTTGAGTTTTCCAATTCCAAATTCAGCTCTATTCCTTGGAGTTTTCAACTCTAAATTCATCAACTTCCTCTATTCCCTGATTCCCCTCTGTCTTTAAGGGAATAACAGCCTCTCATATATCCTACTGTTTCTGTGTTTTTCCCATTTCTTTTCTTTTCATATCTACTTTTACAGATTTAGGGGTACAAGTGCAGTTTTGTTACATGAATATATTGTGTAGCGATTGAGTCTGGGCTTTTAGTGTAACCATCACACAGATAGTGTGCATTATACCCATTAGGTAATTTCTCATCCCTCACCCCTTCCCACCTCACCTTTCCAAGTCTCCAATGTCTATTATTCTGAATTCTGTGTTCATGTGCACACATTATTTAGCTCCCACTTATAAATGAGAATATGCAATATTTGACTTTCTGTTTCTGAGATATTTCACTTAAAATAATAGCCTCCAGCTCCAATGATACTCTTGATTTCCAGGGGAGGTAGTGGTCATGAGCTATTTATTATTAGAGGTATTCTTGCCTGATTTACATGCTCACCTCTCTCCTGGCAGGAATCCTATAGAAAGACTCCAAGCCTCAGAATGAGTTTGGACCAGATAAAATAATCTAGAGTTAAAGATGGCCCACATAGGGAGTGCCAGATTCACTCACAAGGAAATGCAGATGGGATCAAAGGGTAAGAGAATAGCTTTAGAGACGGGAGTTGGAGGGCAATAACAGAACCTGTGGAATTTTGTAGTCTATGAAGAACAGAATTCTTCTCTGATCAATTCATATGGGTTTAGGTTAAGGAAGACATGGTGTTAAACATTAAGTATTCATTGAGAATATATCTTTTTGTAAGACTTCGGTACAGTAGCACTTATAAAAATTTAAATCCTGTGCTAAATGAACTTTTAGTCTTTTGGAAAAGAGAAAGTGCATACCATAAGATAATTAATGATGAACTCAAGGCAGCATGTATTTGCACATCAAGTATCAGATGAGTGGGGCCATCCCTTCTTTCACTCTTGTTACCTTGGATGTAGCTTCCATAATACTATTTAAATTTAGGTTGAAACATGCCACTGTACTGTTTAAAAGCCTTCAGCTGTGCCTTGCTGCCTATAGAATGAAGCTCTAGTTCCTTCTTGTGACAAGCAAGGGTCCCCAGACTCTGATCCTGGCCCCTTTCTCTCCCTGTCTTCCCCCATTCTTCACCTCAATCCTAATTCTCCTTCAGAATCGAGGGGTTTGTTTGAGCTACCCTTGGCTACTTACCCCCTGCTACCTCTTTCTCCTCCTCACATCCAATGTTGTTTCTTGCCTCAGTGTGTACTCATGGTTTTCCTTTTACCTAAAATGCCCTCACCTCCATTCTTTCCATTTTCCACTGCAATCACTCATCAGTTCAGCATCACTTCCTCCTAGTACTATTTCTTTCAGGTTGAATTCATTAACTGTCTTTTGGCGTATTGCAATTTTCTGTTGATATGTCCATCTGTCACACAAGAGTGTAAACTCCTTAAGAGTATGGACCAGTTTTGTTTGGCCCACTATCCTCAGAAACAGATGTAATATCTTCTATACACTAGATCCTTAGTACATGATTGGGAGAGAAATAAAGGGCTCTATTAGTCAAGGGGGATTCTTGGTAGAGATAAGTTCTTAAGCTGGGTCTTCGAGGATTTAACGTTAGCAATGAGCAGAGGTATGGAAAATGGGATTCCATTCAAAAGGCAGATTTGGTCTTAGGCAAAACTACAAAACAGTGTGCCGTGAAGGCTCCCAGCACTGTGGTCCCTGAGGCATCCAGTTTTTCACCTCTTAGGAAACTGATGTTCTAGACTATTTGTATTAAAGATAACTTACATTTTTTGTGATAATAAATATAATGTATGTTTATTAATCCCATATTCTAGAAAGTAACACTGTTAGTATTATGTATTTATATTTATTTATATGATATCTGCTTTTTTTCTCTACCTTTCTCAACTGTTTCTAATCATTCCCTGTATTCTCTCTCATTGTCTTCAGTTAATAAACACATATTGCTTTGAATAGCATATGAAAACCTTCCAGCAGGTATGACAGAGCCATTTTCAGATATTTAGAAGTGTCATGCTCAGTTACAACTCTTTGCTTTTGCATATGCTTTCCTGCCAGGGATGCCCTGCCTGGTCTGGTTTCCTGTCTTTTGCCTGGCCAACTCTTTTTTTTTTTTTTTTTTTTTTTGAGATGGAGTTTCGTTCTATTGCCCAGGCTGGGGTGCAGTGGCGCGATATCGGCTTACTGCAAGCTCCGCCTCCTGAGTTCACGCCATTCTTCTGCCTCGGCATCCCGAGTAGCTGGGACTACAGGCGCCCGCCACCACGCCCGGCTAATTTTTTTTGTATTTTTAGTAGAGACGGAGTTTCACTGTGTTAGTCAGGATGGTCTCGATCTCCTGACCTCGTGATCCACCCGCCTCAGCCTCCCAAAGTGCTGGGATTACAGGCGTGAGCCACCAAGCCCGGCCTCCTGGCCAACTCTTAATTGGCCCTCAAAACTTAGCCTACTTGCTTCTATCTTCAGAAAGCCTTCCCCGACCTTGATCCCACACCTTCTGCCCCACAACCCCAGGCTGGGTTTGGTCCTTCTCTGCTCCCATGGCACCTACTTCCTTCGCTATTACCATTTACCACATTTTCACTACCAACTCCTGAATGACTTGATGAAACTACTATTTAAGGAAGGCAATAAGTGAAGAATATATAAGAATTATCCGAGGAACAGTTGGTAAGGTATCACTGATTAGGAGATGGGGAATGAAAGGGGCGGTTGAGATAATGAGAAGAATGAGATAGTGACCATGGGGATTAGACAGAATTCTCAAACCACTCATAGAGGAATTGGTTGTGATTGAGAAAGATAGAAGAGTTTGCAGTTGTGGGCCATGTCTATATAGCACACATTTGGAGAATATTATACTGGTGCACAAGAAGGAGGCTATGGCTGACTATACAGATAAGAATGATAGAGTTGATTATGCGAAAGAGGTAGTAGATTGAATTAATGGGGTAAAGGTCTTTGAAAGACTAAAATTATGAGTTTGGATAAACTCTTCTGAGCGTTAAAGAATATGCACAATTAAGGAAGGCAGGGAAGGATGAGAGTTGAGGAAGGAATGACAACTAAGAAGGGGGATAGTTGAAGACTTGCGTGAGCGAGTCTTGTTTTAGAGACTCATTTTTGTCTTTTTTGTTTTGTTTTGTTTTAGCTCTAATAACGTTAGGCTTGGTATAGAAGATGCAGAGACATGCTAAAATTTCTCCCCCAATTATTGCCAAGCAGAAACTTGGACGATCGACATGGAAATTGTCTCCACAGGAAACGAAACTATTACTGAATTTGTCCTCCTTGGCTTCTATGACATCCCTGAACTGCATTTCTTGTTTTTTATTGTATTCACTGCTGTCTATGTCTTCATCATCATAGGGAATATGCTGATTATTGTAGCAGTGGTTAGCTCCCAGAGGCTCCACAAACCCATGTATATTTTCTTGGCGAATCTGTCCTTCCTGGATATTCTCTACACCTCCGCAGTGATGCCAAAAATGCTGGAGGGCTTCCTGCAAGAAGCAACTATCTCTGTGGCTGGTTGCTTGCTCCAGTTCTTTATCTTCGGCTCTCTAGCCACAGCTGAATGCTTACTGCTGGCTGTCATGGCATATGACCGCTACCTGGCAATTTGCTACCCACTCCACTACCCACTCCTGATGGGGCCCAGACGGTACATGGGGCTGGTGGTCACAACCTGGCTCTCTGGATTTGTGGTAGATGGACTGGTTGTGGCCCTGGTGGCCCAGCTGAGGTTCTGTGGCCCCAACCACATTGACCAGTTTTACTGTGACTTTATGCTTTTCGTGGGCCTGGCTTGCTCGGATCCCAGAGTGGCTCAGGTGACAACTCTCATTCTGTCTGTGTTCTGCCTCACTATTCCTTTTGGACTGATTCTGACATCTTATGCCAGAATTGTGGTGGCAGTGCTGAGAGTTCCTGCTGGGGCAAGCAGGAGAAGGGCTTTCTCCACATGCTCCTCCCACCTAGCTGTAGTGACCACATTCTATGGAACGCTCATGATCTTTTATGTTGCACCCTCTGCTGTCCATTCCCAGCTCCTCTCCAAGGTCTTCTCCCTGCTCTACACTGTGGTCACCCCTCTCTTCAATCCTGTGATCTATACCATGAGGAACAAGGAGGTGCATCAGGCACTTCGGAAGATTCTCTGTATCAAACAAACTGAAACACTTGATTGAAGGAGAGTAATGAAGATGTTATTTTGGACTTCGGACACCTCCATTGGGGACTCTTCCAGGATGGGTTGGAGAGGAGTAACTTTGTCTTATTCGACCATTCTCTTTGAACTCTTCTGCAGTTATACTAAAAATGAAAATGATAGGGCAACAATTTTTTAACTTTTATTTTAAGTTCAAGGGTACATGTGCAGGTTTGTTACATAGGTAAACTTGTGTCATGGGGGTTTACTGTACAGATTATTTCATCACCCAGGTATTAAGCCTAGTACTCATTAATCATTTTTCCTGATCTTCTCCCTCCTCCCAACCTCCACCCTCAAGTAGGATTCAGTGTGTTGTTCCCCTCTATGTATCCATATGTTTTCATAATTTAGCTCCCACTTATGAGTGAAGACATACGGTATTTGATTTTCTGTTCCTGTGTTAGTTTGCGAAGGATAGTAGCCTCCAATTCCATCCATGTCAAATAATCAAAATTATTTAAACTTTGATTAGTTCTTTATTAAATATGTCATAAATATTTAAAAATAATACAGCAATACCAAAATAAACCTAGAAATATTGTTTTTTATATTATTGTTGTATGACATTTAAAAATTTCTTTCTATGTGTATTTATATTTATACATACAAGTTGGATCATGGAGTTTGTAATCTGGTTTTCCACTGAACACTGTGTCACGAACAACTTTTTCTATTAACAAGCATCTATTTCTTTATTCTTCTGGGCTTCATCGTATGGCTAAACATGATTTGTTATTCTATTTTGGGAATTTTTAGTTGTATTCTATTCTTTTACTGTACATTGTTTACATCTGGATTTTCCTGTAATAAACTTTTAGCACCTAAATTGCAAGATCTAAGGATATGTGTTTTTAAAAATCTAAAGCTGAATTCCTTTTCTTTTAAACTTCTTTTCTTGTAGAACATTTCAAACATACATAAAAGAGAAGAGCACAGTGAACCCCCATGTACTCCATGTAGCCACCATCCAGCTTCAACATCAACATTTTGCTAATCTTATTTTAATTAGCTACAGCTCCTTGTTTGTTAGTTTTCATGGAAAATTTTAGGGCAAATTCCAGATGTTGTATAACTATTATGTTGTGTAAGTTATGTATGTACATATTCCACATATGTATTTAGTATAATCTGTGACTAATAAAGACATTTTAAAAAACCATGCCCACAATACCATTATGATACTTAGCACAATTATCAGTATTTCCTTTATATCATCTAATACACAAGCCATGTTCAAATTTCTCCATTGATCTTTAAGTAATTTCTTAAAATTAGGATCTAAACAAGGTTCACACAATGTATTTTGTTATTGTCTTTCCAGTCCCTTTATAACATAGCAGACCCCACTTTTTTGTCATGCCATTGACTTAAGTTGCTATGTTATTTTTATTGCATCATATCCTGAGACACATGATATTTAGTTGTCCCACTCTTAGAGATGCTATTTATATTATTGTCCAGTGAGTTGAGGTGGTATCAGTCAGATCTATCAATTACTCAGTTTCTAATTAACGTTTTCCCTAATACTTTAATCATCCATTGTGGAAAGGTGATGATTAACTTTTATTCCAAATGTTTTTATGTTCCTTTTTCAATTCCAAAATTCACCATTTTAATAAATGGCTCTCTAGTACATTATATATCAGTCAGCCAGGAATCACACTTAGCTATTAGAAACTGTCAATACAAAGTTTTAAAAGTAAAAATTGTCATGTAAGTAAAAGTTAATTTTTCTCTCAAGTAAAAGAAGTCTGGAGGTAAGTAGTACAGAGAGGATGTGGTTGGTTCCCAGGGTTATATAGACCAGAGCTCTGTTTACTTAGTGTATATGTCAGGAGAACAGCGTGGGGGAAAGTTCCCCCATGATGAAATCACTTCCCTCCAGGTCCCTCCCTTGACATGGGAGATTACAATTGAGATGAGATTTGTGTGGGGACATAAAACCAAACCATATCAGGCTCTATTCTGTGTGTCTGTGTGCATATGTAACTAAAATCAGGAGTGAGTAATTGAGAGAAGTGAATTTTCTTGGTGTGGTTTCAGTTGCAAACAACATAAGCTACCCTGGCTAATTTAAGCTGCTGTTTTTTCTTATATAATATTTGATAGCTCACACACTATCCTGTAGGTAAAGAGAGTCAGACTCTGAATTATTCTGCCAGGAATGAGATGCAGAAACACAGAGGGTCTCTTGTTGGCGTAAATATCACTGCCATCATTACTCAACCCTAGAGTACTTCTAGATCCATCACTGATGCTCCAGAAGGACCAGATTCCTCTGTTTCATGCAGAGAAGACTGAATTCCACATGCATAGTCTTGCTGATTGGTAGGACCTAATTTCCATGGTTGTTACCAGCTGTTAAGGAATCTAGGAAATGATCACAATGTAGTGGGGGTGTTCACAGATGTAAAAGCACTATAATGAATGTCTACTCTTGGCACAGTGCGAAAGGATAATGTTAGGTACTAATTTTTTTTTCTTTTGACATTTTAAAATACAAACATTTCAAGCATATACTAAATACAAAAATTTCCTTTGTCCACTTTTTAATGGGGTTATTTATTTGTTTTTCTTGTTGAGTTGTTTAAGTTCCTTGTAAGTTCTGGATACCAGTCCCGTATTAGGTGCATAATTTGCAAATATGTTTTCCCATTCTGTAGGTTGTTTGTTTACTCTGTTGATTATTCCCTTCACTGTGCAGAAGCCTTTTAGTTTAATTAAGTTCTGTTTGTCTATTTTTATTTTTGTTGCATTTGCTTTTGAGGTCTTAGTCACAAATTCTTTGCCTAGGCCAATGTTCAGAAGAGTTTTTCCTAGGTTTTCTTCTAAAATTTTTATAGTTTCAGGTCTTACATTTAAAAGAAGACATACAATCAGCCTACAAAACCTACAAACATATAAAAAAAGCTCAACATTGCTAGTCATCAGAGAAGTGCAAATTAAAACCACACTGAGATATCATCTCATACCAGTAATAGTAACTATTATTAAAAAGTCAAAAACAAGAGATGTTGGTGAGAATGCAGAGAAAAGGGAATGCTTATATACTGTTGATGAGAATATAAATTAGTACAACCTCTATGGAAAACAGTATGAAGATTTCTTAAAGGGCTAAAATTAGAACTACCCTTTGATTCAGCAATCCCAATACTAGATATCTACCCAAAGGAAAATAAATCATGGTACAAACAAGACACCTGCATGTGTATGTTAATTGCAGCACTTTTCACAAGAGCAAAGTTATGAAACCATCCTAAGCATATGAAAGCATACACACACACACACACTTACATAAGCATACGTAATTAGATATTTTTTCTTTTATTTTACTTTCACTTATTTCTTCTTCAATGCTCTTCTGTTCTTAAAGGTGGATTGAAATGTCTCACTTGTATAATTTTATTACTCTCTAAAAAATTTATTTTATCACTTTTTACCAGGCAAGTCTATTGGCAATAAATTCCCTCAATTTTTGTTCCTCTGAGAAGGTTTATTTCTCATTCACTTTTGAAGGATAATTTCATGTAGTGCAGAATTCTAGATTGGTTTTTCTTCTATCAAAAATTTTAAATATTTCACTCTATTTTCTTCTAACTTTTGTAGCTTCTGCGAACTCAGATGTCATCTTTTCTTCCCTAAAGGTATGGTATTTTTTATCCTCTGGCTTCTTCATGATTTAAAAAAAATCTTTGACTTTCTCATTTTTGTTTAATTTTCCATAGTTTAAAAATGATATTCCTAGCCATAGTTTTTCTGGCATTTATGCTTCTTGGTATTCCTTGAGCCTCCTAGATTTGAAGTTTGATGTCTCATATTAATTTGGGGAAATTTTCAGTTATTGCTTCAAATATTTCTTCTGTTCCTATCTACTTTTCTACTCCTTCTGATATTCCCATTGTATGTATTACATATTTTGGAGTTTTTCCAGAATCCTTGAATATTCTTCTCTGCTTTAATAAGTCTTTGTTTTCTTCGCTTTTCAGTTTTTAAAGTTCCTATTGATATATTCCCCTGCCTAGAGGGTTTGGTGGTCGTTTTCTTCCTCTTAACTTTATTAAGGTATGACTGACACATGAAGTTGTACATATTTATGATGTTTACTGTGATGTTTTGAGATATGTATACATTGTGAAACGATTACCACAATTAAGCCAATTAACACATCCATCACCTCACATAGTTACAACCTTTTGTATGTGTGTGGTGAGAACATTTATGATCTTCTAGTTTAGAAAATTTCAAGTATATAATACAGTATTGTTAACTATAATCACCACGCTATATGCACATTATATAGGTCACATTTTTAAATCCACTTCTCTGTTTTGATGGACCTTTGGGCTAATTCTGTATCTTGGCTATTGAGAATCATGCTGCAATGAACACAAGAGTGCAGATATGTCTTTGAAATACTAATTTTTTTTTTATTTTTCCATAGGTTATTGGGGTACAAGTAGTATTTGGTTACATGAGTAAGTTCTTTAGTGGTGATTTGTGAGATTTTGGTGCACTCATCACCCAAGCAGTATACACTGCACCGTATTTGTAGTCTTTTATCCTTCACCCCCCCTCCCACTCTACACCCCAAGTCCCCTAAGTCCACTGTATCATTCTTATGTATTTGCATCCTTATAGCTTAGCTCCCACATATCAGTGAGAACATACAATGTTTGGTTTTGAAATACTGATTTTATTTCCTTTAGACATATACCCAGAAGTGGGATTACTGAATCATATGGTATTTCTACCTTTATGTTTTTTGAGGAATCTCTATATGTTCCCCATAATGGCTGTACAAATGTAAATTCCCAAAAACAATGTACAAAGGTTCTCTTTTTATATCCTCATTAATACTTGTTATTTTTTGTCTTTTTGATAAAAGCCATTCTAACAGATGTGAAGTGATATCTCGTGGTTGTAGTTTGTATTTCCTTTGATTTAATGATGTTGAACATTAAAAAATACACTTGGCCATTTGTGTGGAAATATCTATTTCATTGAAAAAATGTCTATTTAGATTCTTTCCTCATTTTTAAACTAGGCTATTTGTTTTCTTGCTATTGAGTTTTTAAAAAATGTATATTTTGGATATTAACTCTTTATGAAATATTGTTTTCCCATTTCATAGGTTGTCTCTTCATTCTGTTGATGTTTTCTTTTGTTAAATAGGAACTATTTAGTTTGGTAGAATCGTATTTATTTTTGATTTTGTTTCCTGTGCTTTACGTATGATATTTTAAAAATATCATTTCCCAGACCACCATTGAGAAGTTTTTCCCTGTTTTCTTCCAGTAGTTTTAGTTTCAGGTCTTACCTTTCAGTTTTTAATCCAATTAAATTGATTTTTGCGTATTGTTTGAGACAATGGTTTAATTTCATTCTTCTTTAGGTGGAATATTAAGTTTTTCCAACACAATTTATTGGAGAAACTATTCTTTTCCCATTGTATGTTCTTGGCACCTTTGCCAAAGACCAACTGACCATAAGTACATAGATTTATTTCTGGGCTCTCTATTCTGTTCCATTGTTCTATGTATCTGTTTTTATGCCAGTATCATACTGTTTTGATTACTATAGCTTTGTGGTATATTTTGAGTTCAGGTAGTTGTGCCTCCAGCTTTGTTCTTTTTGCTCAAGATAGCCTTGGCTATTTGGAGTCTTTTGTGGTTCCATAAGAATTTTAGTACTTTTGCTATTTCTGTAAAAAATTCCATTAGAATATTGATAGGGATTGTAAAGAATCTACAGTTTGCTTAGGAAAGTATGAGCATTTTGACAATATGAATTCTTTCAATCCATGAATAAAGAATATCTTTCCATTTATTTGTATCTTTTTCAATTTCTGTCATCCATGCCTTATAGTTTTCAAGGTACAGATCTTTCACCTTCTTGGTTAGATTTATCCCTAAGTATTTTATTTACCTTTGATATTATTGTAAATAGAATTGTTTTCTTGATTTCCTATTCAAATAGATCATTGTTGTAAAAATGCAACTGGCTTTTGTAAGTTAATTTTGTATCCTGTGAACTTAACTAAATTTATTAGTTCTCACAGTTTTTGGTGTAGTCATTAGGGTTTTCTAGATGTAAGATCCAGTCATCTGCAAACAGAAAATTTTACTTCTTCCTTTTTAGTTTGGATGCCTTTTATTTATTTCTTTTGTGTAATTGCTATAGCTAGGAATGTCAGAATTATATTGAAGAGAAATTGTGAAAGTGGGCCTCCTTGACTTGCTCCTGATATCGGAAGAAAAGCTTTTAGCTTTCCAACACTGATAATGAGAATAGCAGTGGACTTGATATACATTATCTTTATTACATTAAGCTATGTTTCTTCTATACCTAATTTGTTGAAAGTTTCTTTTAGTTATGAAAGAATATTGAATTTTATCAAATGCTTCTTCTGCACCTATTATCATATGGTTTTTATCCCTCAGTATGTTAATGTGGCATATCATATTTATTAATTTGTGTATGTTAACCCATTCTTGCATCCTAAGGATGAATCCCACTTAGTCATGGTGTATGATCATTTTAATGTGCTGTTGAATTCATTTTGCTAGTTTTCATTGAGGATTTTTGCATCTATGTTCATCAGGGATATTGGCCTGTAACTGCATTTCCTTATAGTTGCGTTGTCTGGCTTTGGTATTAGGGTAATGCTGACCTCATAAAGTGAGTTTGAAAGTATTTCTTCCTTTTCATATTTTTGAGTGAGTTTAAGAAGATTGGCATTAATTATCCTATAAATGTTTGGTAGTATACATCAATAAAGCCATCAGATCCTGGGCTTTTTTGAATAGGAGACATTTTATTACTGGTCAATCTCAGCCCCAGGCTGGCAGCTTTTGCCGTGGTCTACTGGAACATGAAAAAGTCTGTCTGAGGCTTCCCTGTTGAAGAAGCATATGATAGTCACAAGGAGCAATTAAGGGAGGAGAAAAAGAAATAGAGAGAGAGACTTACTCAGCTCTCAGCTATTCCGTGACCAGACTGAAGTCATTCCAGCAAAGGTCAGAGACATTATGGATCAGAGTCAACCATTCTCTGCTGTGTTTTTCCAAATTTCTTACCCAACAAAGCATGTAACTTAAGTGTTTTAAGCGATTGAATTTTGGGGTCCTAATGTGTTATGCACTAATAGTTAACCAGAACCCCATGTGCTCTTCTACAGTTCACAAACTCTCTGAAGTTTGAATTATGTGGCAGATTCTCACCACCAGAAATGACAGAAAAAACATATTGTATAAAAATATGCATCAAATATATTACTGATAGTGTGGGACAGTTGAGATTAGGAGTTGCCATCTCCACACACACATTGTTGTTTTGTTTTATTATAAACTAAACTGGAATTGAGGGACCAAAGAAGGTGAAGTTAGAAGACAAAAGAAGCATGGAGAGAAGTCAGAATAAAATTGTTTAGATTTACAAAAGTGCATGCAGGGACCTTGAAGGGTCAGTCCACCAGCTTAAAATGCCTTTTCATAGTATTTTCTGTCTATTCTTTAAATATTTATAAATTATAGAATCCACCATTTTTTCAGGGACAGAAGCCATTTATAGGAACTTAAAAAGTGAGGAACATAGCAGTTCATGTCTAGAAATACTTCAATAATTATGACTTCTATGCCTTTGCTGAGTATGAGTTTGGTGCCAAGTAAGAAAAAGAAAATAAAATTTTGATAAAGTCGTCATCTTCCGCAATTAAAGGCTGAGGGAACAATAACATCCTAACGAGATTGAAAGAGTCTTAAGAGCTTTGTTAAATTATCTCCGATTTTTAATATTTTAAGTAATCATTGAGGGTGTGGACAGTTGACTAATAAGAGATATGTGGAGACAGAGGTGCCAAAACTATTTAGATGAACTGTCAGGGTTTTTGTTGTTGTTGTTATTTAGTGATTACAATGTCATTTGCTTTAATTACTTGTCTCCTTGTTTGAAGAATAAGAAATCAAGACCCACCCCTTAAAAATTCTCCTTAACTCATACGTCAGTTAGCATATTCTTTTCCAGTTGAGTAACTATGGCCCTAAAGTAAAATCCTCAAAACATCAAAGCATAATAATTTTATTTATAATATTATAATGCATTAACCTAGAGGGACCAGATAGATAAATAGACCCAAGTATTATCCATATATTTGATATATGGGAAAAACAGGCATATTTCTATACCCAATTTCATCATAAGAACATATAAAAAACCTAACATCAATTTTATCAACTGATATCTTCAAAACATAGTCAGCAGTAGAGTTCCATGGCTAGTATCCCATTCATTCAAATGTCCCTTATATAATCCAGGAAAGCATTGTTAAATACAACTACAGCATATTTTTCCATATATTTTTGTTTTATCCAGTTCCCTCTGTTGTACATTTCTAAATAATTTAAGAAACAATGTAATTACAAACTCATCTTTTTAATTGTTTATTTATGCTTCAGAAGAGTTCTTCAAGATTTCTTTAGGCCAAAGCCACCTTTTCATTGCTCTATTAAAGGCCCCTTTCACTTCCTTGTTCCTCAAAGTGTAGATCAGTGGGTTTAGTACTGGAGTGACCACAGTATACATGATGGCAGTGATCCGGTCCTGGTCCATGGAGGTCCCTGAGGCATGATGAATATAGGTGAAGAGAACAGGTGCATACAAAAGAATAACTACCATGAAGTGGGAGGCACAAGTGGACAGTGCTTTGCGGAGCATGCTAAAAGAATGAGTCTTGAAGAAGAGATGGGTGATAATGTAGAAATAGGAGAGTAATGTGAGAAAGAAGGGGCCCATGGCGATTGTCCCTGTGACAGTACTGAGCAGCCACTGATTAAGCTCAGTGTTCCCACAGGCCAGCTTTAGCAATGGCTTCACATCACAGAAGAAGTGATAGATACGGTTAGAACCACAGAAGTTCAAGCGAGAGGTCATTAGGGAGTGCAGCAGGGCATGGAAAAAACCAATCATCCAGATTGTGATGGCCATCTGGGTACAGAGCTGAGGGTTCATAATGACAGTGTAGCGAAGTGGCTTGCAAATAGCCACAAAGCGGTCAAATGCCATCACGGCCAACAACATGGCCTCTGTGCTGCCCAGGAAGTGGAAGAAATGGAGTTGGCTTATGCATCCCAAGAAAGAAATTGCTTTGTGTGCAGAGAGGAAGTTCTGCAGCATTTTTGGCAGTGTTACGCTGGAGTAGCAGATGTCCAGGCAGGACAGGTTTCCCAGGAAGAAATACATAGGGGAATGGAGTCTAGGATCAGAGATGACAATCATCAGAATGGCTCCATTCCCAGCCACACTGATGAAGTAGATGGTAAGGAAAACAACGAAGAGAAAAGGCTGCAGTTCTTGAATGTCTGTCACTCCCAAAAGGAGAAATTCAGTGACTGAGGTTGTATTCAGCATTGCTTCAGACAAAAGACAAAATAATGTATGGAACACTAATCACAATCAGAATCCTTCCAGCTCAGAATTTTCTTACCAAGCCAAGAATATCTGGAGGGAGAGTATTGTTGTTTTGCATGATTCAACCTCACAAGTTTTACATTTTTGGCTTTTAGATGGCTAAATATTAAAGATATATATATATATATCTGTTATGATCTCTGACACAACTATTTTTTTATTATGTTTTTCATTAATATATTTCTTTCTCCCAGGAATCAGAAAACGTTGCTAGCCTACAGTCTTCTCTGGCTGTGAATATTTTCATTCTTTTTTTTTTGAGATTCTCACTCTTTCTCCCAGGCTGAAGTGCAGTGGTGTGATCTTGGCTCACTGCAACCTCCGCCTCCTGGGTTCAAGAGAGTCTCTCGCCTCAGCTTCCCAAGTAACTGGGATTACAGGAGTCCACCACCACACCTGGCTAATTTTTGTATTTTTAATAGAGATGGGGTTTCACCGTGTATGCCAGGCTGGTCTTGAATTCCTGACCTCAAGTTATCTGCCTGCCTCGGCCTCCCAAAGTGCTGCGATTACAGGCATTAGCCACATCTCTGGGCCTGTGAATATCTTCATTCGGTCACAGCTTTCCTTTCATCTTCCCAAGCAGCTCTCACAGGGGGCAATTTTTAAGCATACCACATAGCTATCTCTTGGCCTAGTAAGAAACCACCAGTAGGATGTTAACTTAAATAAAAAGACAGGTTTCAATGCATCAAAACCACGATTTTTTTTTTAAATCTTGAAAGAGTAGTAGTAATTGCATTTCCTCATTTTAGAATGTAAATGAATTAGAGATATTCTCTTACTGATCTCTTCCTGACCCACATCCCTGAAATGTCGCAGTGACCTACTGGGGTAAGAAACATGACCACATTAATCACATATTAGCCTGAATATTTAAAATTTCATCACTATTATATCTGATGATGAGCTCAGTTTCTTCCTATAATCTGACCCTTTATACATTTTTTGAAATAGAATCCCAAATTATTTTTTTCATTGCAAATGTTATTGTGCTTTTATTCACCAGTTGATCTTAGACTCTTTCTTTCCTAGGAAATCTGTGAATCCCTGGATAAGAATAGTATTTCCTCTGATAGATTCAGTAGTTTCTCTTCTTTTTTCACCAATACTAACCTCTCCTCAA
Source organism: Homo sapiens (assembly GCF_000001405.40). NCBI lineage: Eukaryota > Metazoa > Chordata > Mammalia > Primates > Hominidae > Homo > Homo sapiens. Next base: position 681,607 of record NT_167245.2, on the reverse strand, counting down.
AATATATATTCAGCCTTCTTGAAATTGTCTTCTCTTGTGATCTATTTTCTTAAGTTCTGTTTTTATTTTGCCTGAAATAAACTCACTCATCAGATATTAAGGAATATTCTACCTCAAGTGAAATTCACCTTCTTCTCTTCTAGATCCATTACATTTTCTAGAAAAATTTTTTCTCCATAATTTGCAAAGTACTGGTATTATCTTCATTAGGTTTACTAATAAAAGCAGACATAATATTGTGAAGTAGCTTCTTTGTTCTTTTCATTAGGCTGTAATGGATTAGCTCTTGTATATTGGGAGGGAAGAAGTCAGGATGTGTGGGGAACTTACAGAAGTGAGAGGCACTGAGAGAGCTAGTAGAACTGTAAAGAAATTGAAAAGAGATGCTGACATTGGAGTGCTTCCTATAAAAGGAGTATCATTCAAGGTTTTAGAAACCACTGAGGAGAAAAGAATATAATTTGATGTGACTAGGGTAAAAAAAAATAATGAACAAGGGAACACTTCTAGAGAGCCCATGGGTTTTTTGGCTTCATAGCTGGGAAGAAATTTTGAAAAACAATCTAACTTTTACTATACCTCCATGAAGGACTGCCTTCAAATAATTCACAATAACTTTCTTGAATGACCATGTATATTTTGTATATTTAAAAATTACCACTCCTGTTTAAAATACAAATTATATTTCAAATATAATTTTTGGTTCTTGGACCCAGAAAACAAAATTGTCCCAAAAATCCATATGGTAAAACATATATTCCTAGCTTCTGAGAAAATTAGCAGTCAGAGTGGTCTGTAGTAAATCGTTTCCTTCACTGAAATTTCACCATTTAGAAATCACATGTTTGCTTTGGATAATGTCTAGAGAACTAGATATGTTGAATTGAGAACAAGGTATGGCAATAAAAACATGGTAAGTCAAGGGCCTTCATATCTCACAAACACAATGAGGAGTCCACCATTAGATAGAAAATGAGATCTAGATACTGGGTGTTTAATACTAGCAAGTAGATAGATCATTCATTAACATATTGAGATTATGTGTAACTTCACAGCCTGTCTCCTAGTTCATTCTCTTACCTGATTGAGTGTTCTGATTCACAGTTAAGGAAGCTATTCATGTTTATATTCCCAGTGATTATAAAAGTTAAAACATATTTGAAGTAATAGTTCATGTTGGGATTGCAGCATAAACTCATCTTTAAAAACCTCTTTCTCTCTTTCTGAAAAATCAGTCTGCCTTTTAATGAGCCACAGGTCTCTAGACATAGAAATCCAAAGGGAGAGTGTCCCCTGGTGTTGAGAAAGATTTTAGGAATTAGCAGGATGCCTTTCCACACCTGTAATATGAATCAGTGGCCTTGGGGAATTCCTGTGTGAAGTTTCATTTGTTTTTTTCATTCTTGTTTTTTTTTTTTCCTTACTAAGTTTGTTCCTTAGTTTTAGAACTATGGCCAACACAGGTCTCAATGGCTTAATATGTTTTCTTAGTCAAATTTCTTTTTATTTCCTAGGACAGAGATATGGATTTACTTTCCCATTTTTGGGACTTTCCTGAAAGAATACCCTGGTATTTTTCAGGAAACCTGTTTTGGCTACTGTTGCTCTGTAGTATAGCTTGAAGTAGGGTAACATGATGCCTCCAAATTTGTTCTTTTTGCTTAGAATTGCTTGGCTATTCAGGTTCTTTTTTGGTTTCACATGAATTTTAAAGTGTTTTTCTAGAATAAACTTGTTTATTCTAGTATTCTAAACTTTAGTTTAGAAACTACCAAGAATGTCTTTGGTAGTTTGATAGAAATAGCATTGAATCTGTAAATTGCTTTGGGCAGTATGGCCATTTAAACAATATGATTCTTACTACCCATGAACAAGAAATCTGTTTCCATTTGTTTGTATTATCTCTGATTTCTCTGAGTAGTGTTTTGTAGTTCTTATTGTAGAGACCTTTCACCTGCCTTGTTAGCTGCATTTCTTGGTATTATATTCTTTCTTTGGCAATTGTGAATGGGATTGTGTTCCTGATTTGTCTCTCAGCTTGACTGTTGTTGCTGTATAGGAATGCTAGTGACTTTTGTACATTGATTTTGTATCCAGAAACTTTGCTGAAATAGTGTATCAGCTGAAGGAGCTTTTTGACCAAGACTATGGGGTTTTCTAGATATAGAATCATGTCATCTGCAAACAGGAATAGTTTTACTTACTCTCTTCCTATAATGCCCATTATTTCTTTCTCTTGCCTAATTGCTCTAGCCAGGACTTCCAATGCTATGTTGAATAGGAGTGCTGAGAGAGGACATCCTTGTCTTGTGCTGGTTTTCCAGAGGAATGCTTCCAGCTTTTGTCTATTCAGTATGATGTTGGCTTTGGATTTGTCATAAATGGCTCCTACTATTTTGAGGTATTTTCCTTAATACCTAGTTTATTGAGAATTTTTAATATGAAGCAATGTTGAACTTAATTGGAAGCCTCTTCTGTTATCTATTGAGATAATCATGTGAGTTTTGTTTTTAGTTCTGTTTATGTGATGAATCACATTTATTAATTTGCAAATGTTGAACCAACCTTGTATCCCAGGGATAAAGCCTACTTAATCATTTTGTATTAGCTTTTTGATGTGCTGCTGAATTCAGTTTGCTAGCATTTTGTTGAGAATTTTTGCATCTATGTTCATTAAGAATATTGGCCTGAAGTTTTCCTTTCATGTATGTGTTTCTTTCAGGTTTTTGTATCAGGATGATGCTGGCCTCATAGAATGAGTTGGGGAGGAGTCACTCCCCCTTTGTTTGGTAGGCTATTTATTACTGATTCAATTTCAGAGCTCGTTATTGGTTTCTTCACAGAATCAGTTTCTTCTTGGTTCAGACGTGGGAGGATGTATGTGTATAGAAATTTATCCATCTCATCGAGGTTTTCTAGTTCATGTGCATATGTGTTCATGATTCATCATGTCTCTGATGATTATTTGTATTGTTGTGGGGTCAATGGTAGCATCCCATTTGTCATTTCTGATTGTGTTTATTTGGATCATCTCTCTTTCCTTCTTTATTGATCTAGCTAGGAGTCTATTCATCTTATTAATTCTCCCAAAAAACAAACTCCTGGATTCGTTTATCTTTTGTATGGTTTTTCTCATCTCAATTTCTTTCAGATCAGCTCTAATTTTGGTTATTTCTTGTCTTCTGCTAGCTTTTGGGTTGGTTTTGTCTTCTGTCTCTAGTTCTTTTACTTATGATGTTAGGTTGTTAATTTGAGATCTTCGTATCTTTTTGATGTGGGCATTTAGTGCTACAAATTTCCCCCTTAATGCTGCCTTAGCTGTGCCCCAGAGATTCTGGTATGTTGTATCTTCATTCTCAATAGTTTCAAAGAACATTTTGATTTCTGCACTAATTTCAGTACTTACCTCAAATTCATTAAAGAGTAAGTTGTTTAATTTCCATGTAATTGCATGGATTGAGTGATTTTTTTAGTCTTGATTTCTATTTTTATTGAGCTGTTGTCCACCAATGTGTTTGGTATGATTTCAGTTCTTTTGCATTTGCTGAGGATTGTTTTATGTCCAATTGTGGGGTCTATTTTTAGAGTACGTGCCTGTGTTGATGAGAAGAATGCACATTCTGTTGTTTTGGGGTGGAGAGTTCTGAGGTCTATCAGATCTATTTGATCCAATGTTGAGTTCAATCTTTGTTTAAATCTTTGTTAATTTTCTGCCTTGATGATCTGTCTAGTACTGTCAGGGGAGTGTTGAAATACCCTACTGGAGACTCCCATTGTGTGGGCATCTAAGTCTCTTTGTAGGTCTCTAAGAACTTGCTTTATGAATCTGGATTCTCCTGCTGTGGGTGCATATATATTTAGGATATCTAGATCTTCCTGTTGAATTGAATCCTTTATCATTAGATAATGCCCTTCCTTGTCTTTTTTCGTTTTTGTTAGTTTAAAGTCTGTTTTTCTCTGAAATTAGAATTGCAACCCCTTCTTATTTCTGATTTTCATTTACTTGGCAGATTTTTTCCATCCCTTTATTTTGAGCCTATGGGTGTCATTGCATGTGAGATGGGTTTCCTGAAGACAGCATACAATTGGATTTTGCTTCTTTACCCAGCTTGCCACTCTGTGCCTTCTAATTGGGACATTTAGCCTGTTTACTTTCAATGTTTGTATTGATATATGTAGATTTAATCCTGTCTTTTTGTTGTTAGCTGGTTATTATGCCTACTTGTTTGTCTGGTTGCTTTATAGTGTCACGGGTCTGTGTACTTAAATGTGTTTTTGTATTGGCTGGTAATGGTGTTTTCTTTTCATATTTAGTACTCCTTTCAAGATCTCTTGTAAGGTGGGTCTAGTAATACAATCCCTCAATGTTTACTTGTCTGAAAAGATCTTATTTCTCCTTCACAGAGAAAGCTTAGTTTGGCTGGATATAAAATTCTTGGTTAAAGAAATTTTTCTTTAAGAATATCGAATATAGACCTGCAATCTCTTCTGGCTTTCAACATTTCTGCTGAGAGGTCCACTGTTAGCCTCATACGGTTCCCTTTGTAGGTGACCTGCCCTTTCTCTCAAGCTGCCTTTTACATTCTTTCTTTCATTTTGTCCTTGGAAAATAAGATGATTTTGTGTGTTGGGGATGATCTTCTTGTCTAGAATCTTGCAGAGGTTTTCTGTATTTCCTGCATTTGACTATTGGCCTCTCTAGCAAGATTGGGGAAGTTTTCATGGTTGATATCCTGAAATATGTTTTCCAAGTTGTTTGCTTTCTCCCCCTCTCTTGCAGGGATACCAGTGATTTGTAGATTTGGCCTCTTTACATAATCTCATATTTCACAGAGGTTTTGTTCATTCCTTTTCCTTTTATTCTTTATTTTTGTCTGACTCTCTTATTTCAGAAAGCCTGTCTTCAAATTCTCAGATTCTTTCCTCAGCTTTGTCTACTCTGCTATTAATATTTGTGATTGCATTGAAAAATTATTTTAGTGAGTTTTTCAGCTCTATCAGGTCAGTTAGGTTGTTTTTATACTGGCTGTTTTGTCTGTCACCTCTTGTATCGTTTTATTGTGATTCTTAGCTTCCTGGGATTGGGTTTTGCCATTCTCCTGAATCTCAATTATCTTCATTCCTATCCATATTCTGAATTCTATTTGTTATTTCAGCCATCTCAGTCTGCTTAAGAATTCTTGTTGAAGAACTAGAGTGATCATTTGGAGGACATAAGACACTCTGACCATTTGAGTTGCCAGAGTTCTTTTTTTTTTTTTCTCATCTCTGTGTGTGAGTGTTCCTTTAACTGAAGAACTGCCTCTGATTGAAGTGGTCAGGTGGCAGCTGGGTGATTGTGCTGGAGTCCCAGGTCATGTGGCCTTGCCCAGTGAGGAGAAGTGAGGATCAGGATCTGCATGGAGAACAGTTCAGCCACTTTTCTATGACGTGGATGCTCTGTGTTATGGGTCCCAACCAGCCCTTGGTCCCACAGACTCTCCAGGGCCTGGGGACACAAGGATGAAGACTGTGAGAAAGCAAAGATGACAACCCACCCCTTCCATTGGGAGCTTTGTCCCAGGGCATTGCAGAACTGCTACTGGCTCAATAGTCCCAGTGTAAGGGTGACTGGAGACTAGGCTGGGAGGATCTGCCCCAGGAGAAGATACAGGATTGGGGACCCACATAACATACAGTCTGACCACTTTTCCATAGAGCTGCTACCATATTCTGGGGATCTGCTCCAGTCCCTAGTCACTTCAGATTTTCCAGTACCTGATGGTATCAACAGTGAAGTTTGTCAAACAGCAAAGATGGCGGCCTGCGCCTCCCTCTGGGAGCTCTGCTCCAGGAAGGAATGGACCTGTTACCAGCCCAAACACACTGGCAGGGTTGGCTGGGGATCCCAGAAGTTCCCACTCAGTGAGGAAAAACAGGATCAGGAGGTGCATTAAAAAGCAGTCTGGCCACTTTTTCATAGAGCAGCTATGCTGTCTTTGGGGTCTACTCCAGCCCCCAGTTGCTTCCAGCTCTCCAAAGCCCAAAAGTGACAATGGCTAAGCCTGCAAAACAGTAAAGATGGAGGCCTACCCCTCCTCTGGGAGCTCTGCTAGGGAGGTTTGGGATTGCTACTGGCCGGAAAACACCAGCAGAAGTGGTTGTAGACCTCGGTCAGGGGATTCCTCCCAGTAAACAGAAATGGGATCTGAGACCCACATGAAAAAGTGGTCTGGCCATCTCTTTGTAGAGCTGCTATGTTGTGCTGGGGTACCACTCCAGTCCCTAGTCACCTCAGATTCCCCAGAGCCTGAAGGCACCAATGGTTAAGGCTATGAAACAGCAAAGAAGGCAGCCCAAGCCTCCCTCTGAGATCTCCATCTCAGGGAGGTATAATGTTGCTACCCATGGCAGCCTAGAGTTCAAAGCTATTGGGTCTTATCCTGTGATGTTCCATGGAAATGGGGCTTGCAGATAGTCATTGCTCAGCCCCGTGGATTTAGACCGTTTTCTAGGGGTATATATGGGGGGGGGTGTCTAACCTCCCAGTTTGCCAGAGTTGCAGTTACTTTTGCTGGGAAGCCTGGGTATCTAAAGCTCCTGTGGCTTCCAGTGTGCCTGAGTGGATGCTCTGACGAGACTCCACATAGCTTTGCATGTCAGACTGAAGGCCCTGGTGGAGTGAGTTCATGAGGGATCTCCTGACCTGAGGGTTGCAAAGTTCTGTGGGAAAAGTATGGGTTCCCAAGGTCGCTCACTCACTCACCACTTCTCTGGGCAGGGGAGGCTACCCTGGCTACATGTCATTCCCAAGTGGGTGGTTGTCCTGCCTTGCTTTTCTCTGTTCTCTGTGGGTTGGGTTGTTTTCTTGATGAATCCCAATGCACGTACCCAGTTCAGTTGAAGATACTGTATTTACTTGCCTCTTCTATTTTGCTCTGTGACAGCGGTGCACAATAGGTGCTTCTCGTTGGCCATCTTGGCCAGCCCTCAACTTCTTGTTATTTTATACACTGTGAATATAATACAAATGAATACTATTTATTGCATGCTTATTATGTGTAAGGTATTGTTCTAAGTTCTTTACATCTATTAGCTCTCTTAATTCTCACAAAAACCCAATGAAGTAAGTAATACAGTCATTTATCTTATATCACAAGAAAACTGAGGCTCAAAGGATTTAAGTAAATTTTTCTTCTTGTGATATATTGTGAAACCAGGACTCAAACTGAGGCTCCTTAGTTCTAGTGATCACTGTATTGTGCTCTTTCAAATATTATTCATCTTAATTTTATCTACAATTTTCTTAGTTGACTAGCCATTCGCTATTTTAATGAAGTCATGATCAGCAATTTTCTTCTTTATGTATTGTCTCTTTGTGATTGTACATATTATTTGTTTTAAATTTTCTTTTATTACAAAGGAAGCTTCATGGGCCTGCGACCCATGCAGTCACAAAGGACCCTGCACTCAGAAGGGCCCTATGTTTGATTTAATGCTTTGTGGTCACTGTCTTGAAACTCTTAGTAATTTTTTTTAACTTCCTTTTTTTTATTATTATACTTTAAGTTCTGGGGTACCTGTGCAGAACGTGCAGGTTTGTTACATAGGTATACATGTACCATGGTGGTTTGCTGCACCCATCAACCCGTCATCTACATTAGGTATTTCTCCTAATGCTACCCCTTCCCTACCCTCCCACCCCCTGACAGGCCCTGGGGTGTGATGTTCCCCTCCCTGTGTGCATGTGTTCTCACTGTTCAACTCCCACCTATGAGTGAGAACAAGCGGTTCTCTGTTTTGGTTTTCTGTTCTTGTGATAGTTTGCTGAGAATGATGCTTTCCAGTGTCATCCATGTCCCTGCAAAGGACATGAACTCATCCCTTTTTATGGCTGCATAGTATTCCATGGTGTATACGTGCCATATTTTCTTTATCCAGTTTATCATTGATGGGCATTTGGGTAGGTTCCAAGTCAATGCTATTGTGAACAGTGCTGCTATAGACATACATGTGTGTGTCTTTATAGTAGAATGATACATAATCCTTTGGGTATATACCCAGTAATGGGACTGCTGGGTCAAATGATATTTCTAGTTCTAGATCCTTGAGGAATCGCCACACTGTTTTCCACAATGGTTGAACTAATTTACGCTCCCACCAACAGTGTAAAAGTGTTCCTATTTCTCCATGTCCTTTCCAGCATCTGTTGTTTCCTGACTTTTTAATGATCACCATTCTAACTGGCGTGAGATGGTATCTCATTTTGGTTTTGATTTTCATTTCTCTAATGACCAGTGATAATGAGCTTTTTTTCATATGTTTGTTGGCTGCATAAATGTCTTCTTTTGAGAAGTTTCTGTTCATATCCTTTGCTCACTTTTTGATGGGGTTGCTTTTTTCTTGTAAATTTGTTTAAGTTCTTTGTAGATTCTAGATATTAGCCTTTTGTCAGATGGATAGATTGCAAAAATTTTCTCTCATTCTGTAGGTTGCCTGTTCACTCTGCTGATAGTTTTTTTTGCTGTGCAGAAGTTCTTTAGTTTAATTAGATCCCATTTGTCTATTTTGGCTTTTGTTGCCATTGCTTTTGGTGTTTTAGTCATGAAGTCTTTGCCCAAGCCTATGACCTGAATGGTATTGCCTAGGTTTTCTTCTAGGGTTTCTATGGTTTTAGGTCTTATGTTTAAGTCTTTAATCCATCTTGAGTTAATTTTTGTATAAGGTGTAAGGAAGGGATCGTGTTTCAGCTTTCTACATCTGGCTAGCCAGTTTTCCCAACACCATTTATTAAATAGGGAATCATTTCCCCATTGCCTGTTTTTGTCAGGTTTGTCAAAGATCAGTTGGTTGTAGATGTGTGGTGTTATTTCTGAGGCCTCTGTTCTGTTCCGTTGGTCTATATATCTGTTTTGGTACCAGTATCATGCTGTTTTGGTTACTGTAGCCTTGTAGTATAGTTTGAAGTCAGGTAGTGTGATGCTTCCAGCTTTGTTCTTTCTGCTTAGGATTGTCTTGGCTATGCAGGCTCTTTTTTGGTTCCATTTGAAATTTAAAGTTGTTTTTTCTGATTCTGTGAAGAAAGTCAATGGTAGCTTGATGGGGATAGCATTGAATCTATAAATTACTTTGGGCAGTGTGGCCATTTTCACGATATTGATTATTCCTATGCATGAGCATGGAATGTTTTTCTGTTTGTTTGTGTCCTCTCTTATTTCCTTGAGCATTGGTTTGCAGTTCTCCTTGAAGAAGTCCTTCATATCACTTGTAAGTTGTATTCCTAGGTATTTTATTCTCTTTGTAGCAATTGTGAATGAGCGTTCACTCATGATGTGGCTCTCTGTTTGTCTGTTGTTGGTGTATAGGAATGCTTGCGATTTTTGCAAATTGATTTTGTATCCTGAGACTTTGCTGAAGTTGCTTATCAGCTTAAGGAGATTTTGGGCTGAGATGATGGGATTTTCTAAATATACGATCATGTCATCTGCAAACAGAGACAATTTGACTTCCTCTTTTCCTAATTGAATACTCTTTATTTCTTTCTCTTGCCTGATTGCAGGAAATACGTTGTGAACTTCCCAGCACATCTGTTAGAAAGGAGGTCCAGAAAAAGAGCACAAAGAGAATGGTCTGTATTTAAAGATGTAACAGCTGAGAAAGCACAGTGTAATTTTCAAGAAAATGACTGTAGCCATTCTGCTTGGGCTTACATCTATCATTGCTAATCACTGTCGGAAAAACTTTGGGCAAATGACTTAACATTTCTGTTCCTGTATTTCTTCATCTGTAAAATAAGAATAAAGGTTGTTACGATGATTAAATGAGCTAATATGTATAAAGTACTTAGAATAGGGTCTGACACATACAATGCACCATGTATGTTTTTGCTAGGTAAAAACAAATACATTAATCTTCAGACGGGACTATCAAAATGAGTCTCAAGTCAATGTGGTAGCTAGTCTAGACACATGGATGCCAAGTGAACCATGCCTCTCAGCATTGATGCCCTGTGTGGTTCATTTTTCTTGAACCTGGGCTGGCACAGTGACTTCACCAATAGAATGCAACAAAAATGATGTTCTGGAACTTCGAAGGTACGTTAAAAGAAACCTTACAACTTCTTAATAGATCTCCTGAAACAGTCACTCTTGGGATGCTCCCAAGAAACAAGAATGCATTTGCCATATCAATGGACAAAAACCATTTACCTGAAGCCCTGTTAACTTGTTCTAGCAATGATACCATGTCTGACATGACAGCTGTGATCAAGACTACTAGTCTGCAGCTATTCAGGATTTATCTGTTTTTTGCAAGTGATCTTTCAGTCTTTAGATATTTAAGGGGGCACTAATCTTGGCTATCCTTCCCAGGATGTGATATTGTTGTTAGTTTAATATCCTTGCCAGATGGGGCAGTTTCAAAGCTTCCAGTTGGCATTATCCAGTACGATAGCGCATTTCCCACTGGCCAAGGACTGATGTAGAGGCTTCTCTTACTGCCAAGTATATCAGTCCTAATCGTATAGCCAGTGACTGTGGGAACGACTATTGGATGTGCCTACAGTACTGGGTGACGTACTGTAAGCTAAACTTTAACATGACTCCATTCGTAATCTGGCTTCTGTATGCTCATTGTAACAGTTGGGCCATGGTGATGCTTTGGCTCTTGGAGTATCAGTGTCAACTCAGACAACTGTACTTGAAATATTTGGGTATTCCCCCTTTCCCAGTGTGCAGTAATTTGCATAAATAATGTTAGCTCCCTCTCGGGAAAAACTATAGGTGTCTTTCCAGTAAATGCTTACCACAATGTTGAAGTTCACTTCTTTCTGGAGGACATGACTAAATGTTCAGGTAATAAGTTATGCACCTAAATATTAGCTTGCGTCTGTGAACTGAGCAGGAAATTAGGCCATTTTATTAGAGAGACCACCCTCAGTGTCCTGTTCCTCTACTCTTGCCTTCTTTTGATTGTAGTTTTTAAGCAGCAACCTCATCAGCTGTCCTGTAATTTCGTCTTTAGGGACACATGTTATATTAACCATCACCACAGCTTCCTGTAGGTCAAGACTACTTGGCTACCTTTTTGACTCACTGATGATTACAGCAATTGCCAACTACTAGCTTCCAGTGGTTCAATGCTACCATATATTTTTATTGCTGTAGGCCCCTTTTCTCCAGCAATTCAAACTCTGTGATTACTTCTGTAACCATTATCCCTGGTCTACAAAGAGTCACCACTGAATTTCTTAGTAATTCCAGAACGCCTCTGCCAGAGCATTCTGAATTGTGAATGGTGTGTCTCCTCTGAGTACTCTTGTGGAACATAATATTCTGGTGGCTTTTCTGACCTACATATAGTATATTCTTCCAATACCCCCACTTTCCTGAGTCTCTTTATTCCTTTCCATACCATCTGTCAGGGCAACTCAGTAATTTTAACTTTGATCATCATGGGCCGATGCCTTCCCTGTGCTTGTAAGAGCCACACTAGCAGCACATTTACTTAAGCCCCAGATTCCGTGTCTAAGAACTCAATGTCCCCTAGTTAATATATTCTCATTTATCCAGTTTAGTGTTCTAGTCCCTTGATCATGCACACTCAAAATTCAATCCCATGGTACTCCTGCTGGCACATTGTAACTACTATTTGCACTCCTGTCAGTTTAATCTCTTTTCTATTTTAACATCTCTAGCACAACCCTAATTAATTTATGGGGATTTAACTCTAATTGTTGGCCTGGCGGTCAAGAGAGACATCCACTATCTATAGTAATATGTAGTACAGTAGACATGTACTATCCACAGTAACAAAGAAGATAGAAAGGATATCTATTGAACCCAGATGTTGCTAAGGTGCTTACTAGGAAGAATGATTGTAGTAGTCAGGGTTCTTCTGAGAAACAGAGTCAACAGAATATTGATTGGATGATGGCCACCTACATTAGGGAGGATAATCTGCTTTACTCAATCTATCAATTCAAATGTTAGTCTCATCTAAAAACTTCCTCACTGACACATCCAGAAAACTGCTCAATTAAATAAAGTGTGGACATCCTCAGTCAAGCTGACATAAAAACCATCAAAATAGTGAAAGTTCCAACAGATTCTTTTAGCTGACTATTACAAAATAGGGCAGATGTAAGATGAACTAAAAAACAAGGCATTCAATTTTCAATCAGTATTTAGAGGAAAACTAGATTCCAGGACTTCCTAGGATCAAAAAATTAAACTGTATATTAGTGCTAAATAGTCTAGATGGTAGAAGTTTCTCAAAGTAAGAAATGGCTTCAGGGCAAAGATCATATTCCAAGGTGCTGTTAGTGAAGTATGGTTTTTAGGTAAAGATCCCAAGGATGTGACTATAATACCCATTGTTGAAAGCTCAGAAAGATAATGGGGAAGCCTAGAATAGTTTCTAAAAATCTTAAGACAGGCCTCTTAAGCCCTCTATGTTAGACACAGAGGTCACTATGAGTCTTATGGACATGCCTTGTCAACATTTCCAGCTAGAGGCAAAAATGTTTCCAGAAATCTTATTTTAGCTTTATTGAGGTACAATTGACATAAAAAAATTATATGTCTTTAATGTATACATCGTGATGAGTTTGGGCATATGTACACATACTATCATCACCACAACCAGGGTAGTAAGCATATCCACCACCTCCAAAAATGTCCTCATGCTCTTTTGTGTTGTTTTTGTTTCTGTAAAAGCACTTATGATGAGATCTATAGTCTTGTTAACATATTTTAAAGTGCAAAATACTATTTTCTAGTTATAGGTAATATGTTGTACTGCAGATCTCTAGATCTTATTTATCTTGCATAACAGGAACTTTATACCATACCCACTGATAAACAATTCCCCATCTCCCCCTCTACACATTCCTTTATAATCACCATTCTATTTTGTATTTCTATGAGGTTGACCATTTTAGATACCGTTTAAGCATGGCCATGCAACATTTGTCCTTTTGAGACTGTCTTATTTTACTTATCATGATATCCTCTAGGTTTGTCCATATTGTAATAATTGGCAGGATCACCTTCTTTTAAAGGTTAAATAATATTCATGTATATATTCATTTTCTTTATCCATTCATCTGCCAATGAATACTTGGGTTGTTTTTGTATTTTGTCTACTGTAAAAAATTTCAAAATAAACAGAGTGTTGCACATATTTCTTCAAGGCCCTGATTTCAATTCTCTTGGCTATACACCCAGAAGAGAAATTGCTGGATCAGATTGTAGATTTATTTTTAATTTTTAAAGGAATTTTCATACCATTTTGCATAGTGGCTGCAATTTCTATATTCAGTGTATAAGGGATCCAGTTTCTCCACATTCACACCAACACTTTTTTTTTTATAATAACCATCCTAAAATATGTTAAGTGATATCTGACTATGGTTGCCTTTTTCTGATGGTTAGTGGTATTGAGTACGTTTTTATATACTTGTTGGCCATTTATATGTCTTCTTTAAAGAAATACCTATTCAATTATTTTGTCAATTTTAAGTTGTGTGTGTGTGTGTATATATTATTGAGTTGAGAAGATTATTATGTATTTTAGATATTAACCCCTATCAGATAGATGGTTTGAAATATTTTCTCCCGCTTCATAGGATGACTTTTCACTCTGTTGATCATTTCCTTTGTTGTGAAGAAGCTTTTTAGCTTTACATAGTCCTGCTTGTCTATTTTTTATTTTGTTGTTTCAAATCTAGAAAATCATTGTCAAGACCAACATCAAGAAGTTATCTCCTTATTTTTTTTCTTCTAGGAGTTTTACATTTAAATCTTTAATCCATTTTGAGTTGATTTTGTATATAGTATGAGATAGGGTCCAATTTCATTCTTCTCTATGTAGTTTATTCTACACCATCTATTGAAGGGACTATTCTTTCTCCATTGTGTGTTCTCAGCAATCTTGTCCAAGATCAGTTTACTATCTATATGTGCATTTATTTCTGGACTCTCCATTCTGTTCTATTGGCTTGTATGTCTGTCTTTATCTCAGTACTATACTATTTTAATTAAATGGAAGGCATTCAAATTGAATATAAAATTAACATACAAAATCAATTGCATTCCTATACATTAACAATCTAGCTTTTCTGAGCTATCAGAAAAGGAAGAACCAAAACAATTTCATTTAAAATAGCATAAAAAAGAATAAAATGCTTAGCAATAAACTTAACCAAGGAAGTGAATGACTTGTACACTGGAAACTGTAAAAACATTGATGAAAGGAATTGAAGAAGACTCAAATAAATAGAAACATAACCTATGTTCAGGGCTTAGAAGAATTAAAATTGTAAAATGTCCACACTACCATAACTTGTCTATGAATTCAATGCAATCACTATCAAAATCCCAAAGGCATTTTTTACAGAAATGGAAAAAACTATTCAAGAAAGACCTCAAATAGCCCAAGTGATCTTCAGAAAGAATAGCAAAGCAGATGGTATCACTCTTCTTGACTTCCCAAGATGTTGCAAAGGTACAGTAAATAAAACAGTATTCTACTGGCATGAAGACAGACAGACAGAAATCTCAAGGGTGTTGTCTCACAGTACAGTAATTGTCAGCCCAAGTCAGAGAAAGGCCTGTCCTAAGGAGATGTATGAGTGTGGTACTTATCTAATTGACTAAACCCAAATAAGAATCCTAAGAACCTAAAATATTTTAAAAAGAATTTTATTGGTGGGCCAGGCACAGTGACTCAGATCTGTAATCCCAGCACTTTGGGAGGCTCATGTGGGTGGATCACATGAAATCAGGGGTTTGAGACCAGCCTGCGCAACACGGTGGAAACCCTGTCTCTATTAAAAGTACAAAATTTAGCCGGGCATGGTGGCACATGCTTGTAATCCCAACTACTTGGGAGGCTCAGTTGAGAGAATCACTTGAACCTGGGAGGTGGAAGTTGCAGTGAGCCGAGATTGCACCGTCCCACTGTACTCCAGTCTGGGTGACAGAGTGAGATCCGTGTTAAAAAAAAAAAAAAAAAAAAAAAGAAGAAGAAGAAGAAGAGAGAGAATTTTATTGGTATCATCAGTTTCAATTGCATCATCTTAGACTCCAGAGGACGGAGTGAGAAAAATGTCCCCAAATGGGTTTCACAATTGCTATGTAACTGTTATGTGCCTCCCATTTTTTCTCTTTTGGAGTAACATTTTCTATTACTGTCATCTTATATCTACTTTATCATTATGTGCTGAGTGTGTGACGGGAAGATAACCTGACTTCTTCAAGTTCAAAGGTCTTCAGGTCAAAAGGAACCATTCTTGAGGAATCATACTAAATATGCCCCATTTGCACTTTGCCATGATTTGGATTTTAAAAACCTAGACTTTGAGCTGATGCTATAAAGGGATGAGATTTTAAGATTATTAGGAAGAGGAGTAAGTGTACCTTGCATATGGGAACAACATGAATTATTAGTGGTTAGATATGGGACTGTGGTAGATTAAGGATGTCCACACAATTTTTGACACTCTTTCCATTGAAGGTTACAGAAGCTCAGTTGGCCTGCGATTTCTTTGGCCAATAGAGTATGATAGAAGTTATGTTAATGCTGGTTCTTGGTTTTTGTCTTTGAGACAACTAACAGTTTTTGTCTTGGTTTGCTGTCCCCCATGAAAAAGTCTGTCCCGAGGCTTCCCTGTTAAAGAAGCACATGACAGTCAACTGAGAAACTGGAGAGAGAGAGAAAGAGAGAGAGAGAGAGAGAGAGAGAGCGAGCAGATCCAGATATTACTGAGCATAGTCAACCCTTTCCTGCTGTGCCCTCCCCAATTTCTGACCCACAGAATCCTGGGATTTGATTAAATAAATTAAGCCATTTAGATTTAGGCTACTATTTGTTATGCAGCAGTAGATAACTAGAACCCATGTGTTTTCCTACAGTTCACAGCTTCCATGTAGATGGGATTATGCAATAAACTCTGAGCAACAGAAGTGATAGTCTGAGATAGTTCAGGTGGATAGTGTCTTCTCCACACAGGCATTGTCTCATCAACAAAACTGGAACTGAAGGACCAAAGAAGGTTGACTTGGAAGATAGAAGAAGTACCAGAGAGAGGTCAGATCGTTTGGGTTTGCAAAAGTGAAGGCAGAGGTTTTGAATAGTCAGCCCACCCGCTCAACATAGCTTCCATAGTCTTGTCTATTTGTATCTCTAAATAGTTACAAATGTTGGCATACCACATCTTTTCAGAGCCAGAATCCATTTCTAAGTACTTAGAAACTAAGAAACATCATACCTATTCTTGTCTATTAGCTCCAGAAATACTTCCACAATTATGATTTCATTGTTTTCACTTAGTATGAGTTTGGTACCAAAGGAAAAGAAAAATACATTTTCATGAATTTTTTGTATTTCACCTGTATTACATCATATTACATGCATTACAGTCTGTCAAAATAAGGACAGATAAAGGAAAACGAAACCAAAATAATAGAGTGTTTAAAGTCATCATCTTTCATGACCCAGGGTGGAGAGATACGAGTGGTTATAACACTCTAATGAGATACAAAGTGATTCTTGAGGTGTTTTTTGTTTGTTTGTTTGTTTTACCTAGCTCCACTTTTAATGGTATTTCATAGTAATCCTTGAAGTCTGGCCAGTTGACTTCTAAAACATCTCTGAAGATATAGGTACCAGAACTCTTAGCTGAACAATTGGTTGTTTTATCTCTTAATTAGTGGTTGCAATGTCATTCAATTTAATTACTTATTAGCCTCTCTGGACCAAGTAAAAAGCATTTTTCATTTGTATTATAAAATGTAAAAATAAAATTGTCAACTTTTAGTAAAAGTTTGTTCCCTTTTTCCACTCTTTCCTATTCTTTTTGTGTCATAAAAGAAATGAAACATTCTAGTGTGTTTCAGTAGCTCATTCTCTCTGCAGCATGTCCTCTGTGTGAGATTCATTTTCTTTAGTTAAACGGTGGGTCTTTTAGGGCACCTTTCCTTTATTTTGTGCAGGACTTTCATAAATCTAACACCTGTAGAGCTTTTTTTGATTAAAATAATAAACAACACAATTGATTAATTTTTCACATGAATAACTGTTGGTGTAGTAAGAGGAAAGTTTTAAGTATTTTATGCTGAAGTAGGGGAAAACACTTCATGTTGCCTGTGTGCCAGCTAACAATGACAAGAATTGCTGTAATCTTAGCTTTTCCTTTCTCCCAGTTGCCATCTTGCTTGGGCTTCAAATAGTCTGAAAACTTTCTATAACAATGGCAGAATTATGCAGACTTCCATGTTATGGAAAGTGTCTTTAGGATGTCATTTTTTACATAACCAGGCTGTAAAAGTAGAATATTTTCAGGGAAGCATCTACAAAATAAGTCATTGGCATTATTCATATTCAATGTAGTGTAAAATCTAAACACTTTTACATTGCAAGTGGTGATGAAATTTTTTATAACCTCTGGGGAGGGCAATTTGGCAGTATCTATCTGAATTACAATAACGATATCTCTTGACCTAACATTTCCATGTCTGAAAGTTTGTCCTACAAATAGACTTGCACATATATAGAATGACGTGTACACAAGATTATACACTGCAACATATGATTGGAAATAACATAGATGTCCAATGATAGGAGACTGATATATCAAATATAATACATGAACAAAGTGGCATATACCATGCATGTTAAAAAAATAAAGAAGCTCTATGTTCTAATAGGGAAAGATCTCCAAGATACACATTGCCCTCAACATTGGTTTGCTCATATAACATGTATTGTTCATTGCCATTCTTTTTTAAAGAAAATATTTGTATTTGACTGTGTAGCATAAAGGATCTCTGTGAGGACAGATAACAACTGATTACATTGATTGTATATGAAGAGTAAGTCAGTGACGGAGGGCAGAGATGGGGAGAAACATTTGACATCTTTTTATGTCTTTTGCATTTTGAATCACCATTAAAAGAACAAAAACCAACCGAACTGAAAAGAAATCATGACATACCTCTTTAAAATTTATTTAAATAATATGCAAGTTAGCATTTACTTTTCCAATTGAATAAACATAGCCCTACATGACAATCCTTAAAATAAAAAAGCATAATAATTTTATTGATCAGACTAAAATGTGTTAAACTAAAAGGATCTCACAGACAAACAGTCCTAAATATCATCTATCTATACAATACATGGGCAATATAGGCAAAATTCTACATGCAATTGCATACAAGTACATGTTAGAATACATAATAAGTCAATTATATCAACTGATATTCCAAAAAATTTTCAGCATTAGGGTTCCATGGCTAGTGTCTTGCATTTTCAAGTATTCCTCATATTACTTAGAAATGTATTGTTTACTACAACTAGATTGGACTTTTTTTTCTTTTATCCAGTTGCCTCTATTTTACACTTATAAACCATCTGAGAAGCAGTAAAATTACACATCTCTACTTTTTCATTGCTGGTTATTTATGCCTCAGAAGAGTTCTCTGGTTTATTCAAATCAAAGCCTTCTGATCACTCTACCCAAGGCCCCCTTCACTTCCTTGTTCCTCAAAGTATAGATCAGTGGGTTTAGTACAGGAGTGACCACAGTGTACATGATGGCAACAATCCGGTCCTGGTCCATGAAGCTCTCTAACGCAGGATGGATATAGGTGAAGAGAACAGGTGCATAGAAAAGAATAACTACCATGAAGTGGGAGGCACAAGTGGACAGTGCTTTACAGAGCATGCTACAAGAACGGGTCTTGAAGAAGAGATAAGTGATAATGTAGAAATAGGAGAGAAGTGTCAGAAAGAAGGGGCCCATGGCAATTGTCCCCGTGACAGTACTGAGTAGCCACTGATTAAGCTCAGTGTTCCCACAGGCCAGCTTTAGCAATGGCTTAATATCACAGAGAAAATGATGGATACGGTTGGAACCACAGAAGTTCAAGCGAGAAGTCATTATGGAGTGCAGCAGGGCATGGAAAAAACCAATGACCCAGATTGTGATGGCCATCTGGGTACAGAGCTGAGGGTTCATGATGACAGTGTAGCGAAGTGGCTTGCAGATAGCCACACAGCGGTCAAATGCCATCACGGCCAACAACATGGACTCCGTGCTGCCCAGGAAGTGGAAGAAATGAAGCTGGCTTATGCATCCCAAGAAAGAAATTGCTTTGTGTGTAGAGAGAAAGTTCTGCAGCATTTTTGGCAGTGTCACCGTAGAGTAACAGATATCCAGGTAGGACAGGTTTCCCAGGAAGAAATACATAGGGGAATGGAGTCTAGGATCGGAGATGAAAATCATCAGAACGGCTCCATTCCCAGTCACACTGATGAAGTAGATGGTGAGGAAAACCACGAAGAGAAAAGGCTGCAGTTCTTGAATGTCTGTCACTCCCAAGAGGAGAAATTCGGTGACTGAGGTTGTATTCAGCATCACTTCAGACAAAAGACAAAATAATCTATGGAACACTAATCGCAATCAGAATCCTTCCGGCTCAGAATTTTCTCACCAAGCCAAAGATACTTGGAAGGAGAGTACTGTTGTACTTCTTCCAAACCTCAGAAGTTGTATAGAAGCTTAGCTGCTGGTCTCTTCAATATTAAGGATTCATGCATATTATGGACTATGACTTAACCACTTTTTAAAATTAAGTTTATCATTAACGTATTTCTTTCTTCTGGGGATTTAGAACATGTTGCTAACTTACATCTTCTCTGGTTGAGAAGAATACATCCGTATTCTGTTACAACTTTCCTTTCCTACCCCAAGTCAGCGTTAATAGGGGGCAATTTTTAAGTGCACCACCACTTGGATATCTCTTGACCCAGGAAAATGGCTCCTGAAATTTTTTGACTTAAGAGAGGAAGATAAAAATGAACTCATTATAATCACAAAGTCTTTAAAGAGATATAAAAACCTCTTTAAAATAGTAGTAATTATTTTGTTCTCATCTTAGAATGTAGATGAGGCTGGAGATGTTCTCTTACTGATCTCTTTCTAACCCACATCTCTGGCAATGTCATGGAGCTCTACTGGGAAAGGAAAAAATAATACATCAATCAAATATTAACCTGAGGTATATTTGAAGTTTTATCACTGCTATATCAGATAATGTGCTTAGTTTCTTCTACCTAAGCCTTTAAATTTTTTCAAAGTAAATCCCAAATTACTTACTTGATGACAAATGTTATTGTTCCTTTAGTTTCCAGTTGCACTGAGACTTTTTCCTTTTTCACACCCCTGAATCTCTGAATAAGAAAAACTCTTCCAATAGACTCAACAATTCTTCCTTCATTTTACCCAATAGTGTCTTCTTCTAAAGTATCTAAGAATTTAGACCACTGAAAGTTCTGTCTTCTCTTGTGATGCATTTTCTTAAGTCTTATTTTTATTTTGCCTGAAATAAGCTCACTTTTTAGATGTGAAGAAACATTGTATCCAAGTGAATTTTCTCTTTTCTTCTAGTTTCATCAATGTGACACTGACAGTCAGGTTCTCCTCCATCAACCCAGAGGTCTGTTGGCTTCATACCAGTTCTCTCCAAAGTTGCCACACATTTCTAGCCTTTTTCATTTGTAAAATGTGTTTTCTCTATTTGCCCCTTCTTTCCATCAGATAAAATTTCCATTTTCTATGAAAGAAATGTATTCATTTTTCTTTCTTTTGCAGAATTGAAATAATAGAATTTTTTCAGTAACTGTTAAAACACATGAGGGATTATAAGTAAGATAATTATAATGAGGTTTAATATTTGACTAAATTTATACTGTTTACTGAAAGGCAGAAATATATTTTGAAGGTTTTTTCTAACATTATTTGCAAAGTACTTGGGATTATCTTCTATAGGTGCACTGACAAAAGCAAACATAATTTTGTGAAATAGCTTCCTGTTTGTTCCTTTCTTGTACAAATGTAGTGGATTAACTTTTGCATATTAGGAGAAAAGAAGCAAGAATGTGTGGGAAATCCATAGAAATGGCAGGCACTTAGAAAAGAATAAGAACCAATAGGAAATCAGAAGAAAGATGCAGACATTAGAGTGTTTCCTATAAATGGGGAATAATTCGAGGCTGAAAAATTGCTGATGAGAGAAGAAAAGGATTTGGTGTGACTAAAGTTAAAAAAAATAATGAACTAGGAAACATCTCTAGGGAGCCCATAGGATATTTGGCTTTACAGCTAGAGGAAATTTTGAGAGATTATCTAACCTTTACCACACCTCCATGAAGGACTGCCTCCAAACAATTTAAAGTAGCTTTCTTTGATAGCCATGTATGTTGCATATTTTTCAAAACTTTTACCATGTCTTTTAAAAGTACAAATGATAGATAAAATATTATTTTTGGTTCTCTGACCCATAAAATAAAATTGTATCAAAAATCTATTTGGTAAAAAGAAAATTTAAAAAATAATAAATAATAAAACAACATTTTCCTAACGTTTAAAGAATGTTGTTTAGCCAACTTCTCTGTATGAAAATATTTCTTTCACTGCAATTTCAATATTTAGGGATTTCAGATTTGCTTTAGCGAATATCTAGAGAGCCAGGCATGTTGAATAGAGAAGGAGATATGGCAATAAAAGTGCGGAAAACAAAATGCTTTCATAATCTACAACTACAATGAAGACTCCATCATAAAAATAGGAAACCAGCTCTAAATCCTGGGCATCTAACTTTAATACTCGCAAGCAGTCAGGTCACTCATTAACAGATAAAAAATACGAGCAGCTTCCCAACCTGTCTCCTATTCTATTCTCTCACCCGGATTGAGAGTTCAGAATCACAGGTAAAAGAGCTTTTCAGATTTATACTCCCAGTGATTATAAATAGAAAAATATTTGAAGTGATGGTTGATGTTGGGATTGCAGCATAAATTATCTTCAAAAATCTTTTCCTCTCTGAAAATCTGCCTGCCTTCCAATGAGCTGCAGATCTCTAGACATAAAAACCTGAGAGAAACTGTCCCCTGGGTGCTGAGAAGGATTGTCGTGAGAATAAACAGGAGGTCTCTCTGCACCTGCAGCATAAGGAGATAGCCATATGGAATTTCTCTGTAGAATTCCACTTTTCTGTTGTTGTCGTTCTTCTTATCTTTTTTTCTTAATATGTTTGTTCCTTGGTTTCATAACCATGGACAAGACAGTTTTCAATAGCTTAATATATTTGCTGGATTTTTTCTTTAAAATAGTAACCCAATATTTTATTTGACCTTTCACAATACTGTTTTTTAAAATATTTATTTGTTTATTTAAAATACTTTTTCCTAGTCAAATTTCCTTTCATTTCCTATGGTAGAGGTTCAGATTCACTTTCTCTTCTTGAGGGCTCCCTTGGAAAATATTTTGGTATATAAAGTGAAAGAAAATTGGCAATAAAAATTAATAAATATGGTCACTCACATTCCATTGATCAGTACAGAAAGATGATTATCTTTAATATTCTACTGTGGTTCTATGAAAACCAAAGAAAGAGACATAAAGAGAAATAGTATTGCTTTTGTACCTTCTACATCTTACTCTTCACTGTTGCTAATAATACTAAATTATTTTAAATAATTAATTTTGGGGTCCAAAAGCTCACATTTTTCTCTGTTTGGGATAAGGATTTTGGTCTTACCAATGTGTAGCATTACTTTTTGCTAATTTTTAGATAAGAAAATTCTGTCTGAATTACACCAGGGTATCTATGCGTGACCTTCCATCAATCCAAGGATTCTACTAACAGTTGTAACTATGATGTATTTTTTCCATCTTTCTATTGAGTTTCCATTTTTGTTGCTTGGCAAAAGTTTATTATATATATTTATCACAATAATATCTTATTTTAATTTTTTAATTTTGTTTTTTTTTTTAAATCTTTAATTTTTTTTCTTGTTTTGAGTCAGAGTCTTGCTCTGTCATCCAGGCTGGAGTGCAGTGATGCAATCATAACTCACTGCAGCCTCTAATTCCTGGTCTCAAGCAATCCACCAATATCATCCCCCCAAAATGTTGGGATTATAGGTATGAGCCATTCCACATACAAATAATTCCTTATTTTATATACTGCTAATATATTATAAATAAATAACATTTATTGCATGCTCATTGTGTATAAGTTATTGTTCTGAGTTCTTCACATATATTAGCTCATTTAATTCTCACAAAAACCCAATGTAAAAGTATTAAAATTATTCCTTTACTACAAGAAAACCAAGGCTCAAAGGATTTAAGTAAAGTTTCCTTTTCCTTGCAATGGATTGTGAAACTAGGATTCAAAATAAGGCTCTTTAGTTTTAGGGATCACTGCAATGTAATTTCCATTTTTTCAAAATGTCCCCCACTTCAATTTTATCATTTTTTATCTTGCATTGAAACTTAAAGATTATGTAACTGGTTCTGTTAATTAGATTTAGAGTTTTATATTTGTCATTTAGGACTCTAGTCTTCTAGAGGTTATATTTACATATCCTGTGAGATAATCAGCTAG
This sequence comes from Homo sapiens, assembly GCF_000001405.40. NCBI lineage: Eukaryota > Metazoa > Chordata > Mammalia > Primates > Hominidae > Homo > Homo sapiens. Next base: position 658,172 of record NT_167245.2, on the reverse strand, counting down.
TCTTGGTTCTGGTTGTCTCTATGTAGACAGACTAACCATTCCTTCTTCATCGATTTGTGAGGCCATCTTTATACTATTCCAAGTTCCCCTCAATACATGGTTTGTTTCTCCACTGACTATTTTTTCCATTGAATAAGCTGTAATTTAAGTAATATGATGTTATTGTAGGTCTTAATATCTCATAAGTTAGGAAAAATCATTACTTCTTTTTTTTTCCCCAAAATACCTCCAAGTTGGCTGAGTGCAGTGGCTCACGCCTGTAATCCCAGCACTTTGGGAGGCCGAGGCAGGTGGATCACTTGAGGTCAGGAGTTCCAGACCAGCCTGGCCAGCATGGTGAAACTCCATCTCTACTAAAAATACATAAATTAGCTGGGCATGGGGGTGTACGCCTGTAATCCCAGCTACTCAGGAGGCTGAGGCAGGAGAATTGCTTGAACCTGGGAGGCAGAGATTACCACTGTATTCCAGCCTGGGTGACAGCGTGAGACGCCATAAAACAAAACAAAACAAAACAAAACAAAACAAAACAAAACAAAACACCCTCAAAGTCTTTTGACAGCTTTTTTTCCCAAGTAATTTCAATGTTATAGAAAGTTTGCTTACGGGGAAAGGCCTAGGGCCAACTCAAAACAGGCCCCTTGAATGGAGCTGGAGAGGCTCCAACATGGCTGACTTGATACATCTGGTACTTGGCCCTTCCATGTAAAGTAACCAAAATAACCAGTCAATAATCACACGTTGAATAGATCATCTAAGAGAGAACACCGAAAGTCAGCAGAGAAGTGACCAGGAAGCACCAAAAGCAAAGGAGAAGGAAATGAGACCGCCTGTTCAACCAAGATCGGATATGAGTCTCGAGCGGCTCTCCAATGTGGGAAAAGGGAAAGGGGCAGACTCCCAGCAGCCCACATTTCACCACAGATACCTACAATTCTAGCCACAGGAGATCCCCTCAACCATCGTAGCCCCTGAGACTAACATAGGGAGCTGCCTGGAGACCACGTGAAGGCGCTACCCAAGAAAGAACCTCACACTGGGTCCCACGAACCCTAAGTCCTAACTAACTGCAGCACGGCACCATTTTGACAGCACAGATCCCAACGCACTGCATCTTACTCTGCTTCTGAGACCGAGGCAAGAGCCCTAGGGAGTAATCCCACCTCCCGTTACCCCGACCAGAGGGACAACTACACATTTTTACTTGCCCTGAGGACAAATTTCACTGCCTGCAACTGCTGCCATGATGAACTACTGTGGGGCAGAGGCATGAGCAAAGCCCATGCCTCCCCAGTTTCTTGCCTATGGTTGTTCCCAGGAAAAGCAACCCAGTCCTCCCCAGTCCATGACCACAAAACAGCCACTACCACCCCTATCTGAGCATTCCATCTGTGGCCTGGGGATCCCCCTGCCCCTGCCTACCATAGCCAGTGCCTCATACACCACCAAGGAGCCCATGGGAAGGTCTACTCAGCCTGGCTTCACCCACCCACAGAATCTGAGCACACCGTACAGGGGCCCGAGGGTCACTTAGCCCAGTCCATCACTGGTAGCTCCTCAGCACCCCTCCTGGGATCTGAGGTCAGCCCCACTCAACCTTCCCCTGGCACCACAGCTGACATCCACAGTCATGTGCCTCCTGTGGATCTGGGAACTGACCTGCCCAACCTGTCACAGCCATTGCCAATATCAGCATGGACTACACGGGTCCCAGAGGGCTGTCCCACCACTGCTACTGCCATCACCCACACCACATCCACTGCCAAAGGGCTCAAGAATTCAACTTCATACCTGAACTACTGATGCCATTCCCAGAAGCCAAGCAAGCCACTTGGAAGCACAAGAACTGTCTTGCCTAAACCCGCTAACATTGGTGCCAGTGTATGCTGCCCTGGGGCCCAAGGACACACATGCTCATCCCACTGATTCTACCAATGGAAGCCGAAGACTGGCCCAACTGGCATCTCAGTTCTTAGCAAGACTTCAGCACAGCCTCCACTAACAACCATATCCTAAGCCACCAAAGAAATCACAGACACCACTGACACTGTTTACAGATGAAGAAATCATACAGAGACTGCACTATTGTACACACCCAGAATCAAAACCAGAGAACCCTACCCAAACTACACCTTAGATACATCTTCTGGAAAAAGTCCTCCCCATGAGAGCAAATTCAAAAAATTTAAAAAAGTAACTGTTATACTAGATATGCAGATATCAACATAAGGACACAATAATTCTCCAGCAACAGATCCCAATAAAAAAGAAATGTCAACAATCCCAGGCAGAGTATTCAAAATTTTGTTACTAAAACAGCTCAGTGAGATACCAGACAGTATTTAAAAATTATACAAAGAAATCAGGAAAACAATTTAGGTTATGAATAAGAACTGTACCAAAGATACAGATATCAGGAAAAAAAACCCCACCTAGTTCTCTATCCCTTTTTTCTATCTTTGATTCCACTCACAAATATGCTTGCTTTTAATCATTCTCTAGGATGTTTAGTTTTTGTTTTATTTATTTTGCATTTTATTCCTCTAAGGAGCTTTCATGGCCATATTGGCAGCATAACTCTCCATTGTATGGGACTTTGAAGGGGAATAGGCCAATTTGTTGAAAACTAAATTGTCTAAGACCCAGTTTCCTAAGAGCTATTTCAGTGAGTCTCATCCTACAACTAATCTGTGTGTTAACATGACTTGTCTTTGACACTTACCCTAAAGTAACAGCGATAGTTGAAATTAAAACTTTGGAGATATTTCTAGTAAATCATAAAATTGATTTTATTGGTTGTTCATGAATTAACATAGGGCTCAGGAAATTTACCATTTCTTTATTCACAGTAAGAAAGAACATTGATCATAATAGTACAAATAATGACTTTAGTTAGATGTTTTTAATTATTTCAGTGGGCTCCATACATAAAGTTGTCTCTGCCAAGAATCTATATAAACACTAATCCCTAAAAGTATGTTAACCAAATTTATCTCCACTGTTTAGTCTTCCCTGTTTGATCATAATTTGCTTAAATCTTTCCATTTCAATATCTGTAGACCTCAGTTTATAATTAATCATTTTTAGTTTTCATTATATTGTTCTAAGTGATATTACTTTTCAGATTCATTAGATGTTAGATTTCTCAAGGATAGGAGCTGTGTCTTCTCTTTCTTTTATATTATCATCACTCTTTTTTTCTTATGACTAATGAAGGGCTCTGCCAAAAATTTATTATTATTACTTAAATCAATGTAGTGATCTCATAAGCACATCAAAGAAAGAATAAACTGATACACAGGGGAAGAGAAATATAAAGAGAATAAGTCCTTGGAGAGAAAATCCCAAAGTGTTAATGCTCAAGATGCTACTGGGAAGGTTTACTGAGAAGATTTAGCCTGTTCATTTTCTGTCCATAATAAGACATGAGATTTGCTTAGATTCCATGTAAGTTGTTTTCAATAAGGGTGTTTATAATAGGTTTTGAGCAGTCAGAACTTTCTCTGATAACTTTATTCAAGGACACAATAAATACATCTGATCTATGATATTTGGATAACTCTTTTGACCCAAAAATTATATTTATACTAAGATACGTGCAAAGGAATGTGCAGAGCAAATTGGCTTAGACTAAATAGAAAAATGATATTATGATAGTAGAGAAAAACTGTTGATGAAAAGAGGTTGAGATCACTGGAATGAGTGGGTTAGAGTGATGGAGGAACCTCTTTGAATATAGGCTATGAAGATTACAGGATGCAACAGGTGGGCTCATTACATAAAACATTTATGAGGGAAGCTTCAAATTTCCTGATCTATTTACTTATGCTTTTTTTGGACTTTTTTTGGTTTCAGGGCAGCAGACTCTATGATCAAGTATAGATGTATGTTATAGTTAAGTGTCTGAGTGTGTACGACTGTTTAATGGAGATAGTGGTAGTGTGTGTATATTTGTGTTACAAAGAGACGAAATAAAGGGAAAAGGAAGTGAGGGAGAAGTAAAAAAAAATAGGTGAGTAACCTTTTAGTATCTATCACAATCAGTTTTCATAAAAGTAGCAGATTCCAATTCGTGTTAGATAATATATTAGATTGTATTTAATGTTAGATAATTATATAACTTTGCAGTAGTATTATTTTTAGTAGAAGAGGGATGGTGTTAATTATTTAGGAAAAAATAATTTCAAAACTGTTGTATAAAGTATTTACTTATGTAGTTTCACAAGCGTACATCCCAAACCCTTAATTATATGCATCTGTTACAATGTCCTTCAGCTATGTTTATGATTCCTGAAATTAATTCTCTTCTCTCCACTATCAATAATTTCACTTTGAACATTTATTCTGTATCTATACCCACGGAATACAGCTCCTAGGTTTTTGTGCCAATTCACCAATCTTATAATTAAATATTCAATACTACTTACTGATGCTAATTAATCAATAAGAATTATTAATGCCATTGAGAGCAGGTCATGCCAAAAATGAATTGTGGAAAAACCTGTACCTATTGGCTAAAAACCATTACTTTTTCTACAAATATACATGTTTATGTTCTGTGTTGCCATGTCCTTTGATAAAAATGGAGGAATCTTCATTTTTTGATTTGTTAATGTAATTGTTATTGGTGTTGTTTATAAAAGAAATTTTGGTAGAAGAGTGAGGGTAAAATTTTAATTGGTATAGGTGTAGGAGGGAATGGAAAGAGGATTGCAAACAGCTGGTATAGGCAAATGTTTACAGAATTTAATTGTAAAGGGGAACACAGAAATGGAATGGAGGTAGAAAGGTAGTACAGGAGAGGAAAATTTTCATGATTTAAGACAGAGATGAGAAAATAACTGGAGCAGTGTTCTTAGAAGATGAGAGAGAATGGGTTCTTGGACACAGGTGGAAGAGGTGGTCTTCATCAGGAGTATCAATTATGAAACCATTAGAAACAGAGTGAATGCACAGTATATGAACACAGTTACAAAACTGTGGGTAGATACTAGGATGAAACTTGGAGATACTCTCTTCTGACTGCCTTTACTTTTCCAAAATAAAAGAAACAATGTCACTCTCCGAGAGAGAGGATGAGAGAGAAGAGTTAGAGGTATGGGCTGTAAAGAGAAAGGGAAATATGTAATTGATTGGCATCTCTAAGATTTCAGGGTTTTTTTTTATTGCTCATGATCCTTGTGGTCATGCATTGGTGTCTGTGCATCTGAAGAAATAGGCATATATTCCAGTCTTTACAGACTGTTTCGGCAGGGAACGCCCTTCATGCATCAGCCTATCCAGAGATTCTGGGCAGGTCATATGGCGTGGTCTGGAAGTAGGTTTGTTCCTGGAGTCCTGGGCAGGATGGCTTAGTGCTTGGGTCATCAGGTGGGTGGGCCTGGTGGCTGAGTCAATGGCATTCCCAAGATTTCAATGCAGTTGAGTATTAATGAATTTAGATCTAGGCAAGTGAGCACAGGTGCATTTTCCTCCAATCGTGTTCAGCTGCAAATGTTTAGATGCGGAGTAAGTAGAGAGTGGTTTGACTTTTTCCAGGTAAAGACATGAAGCACAAATTGGTCAAGGGATGTAAGGATATATGCTACTATAAAGTGACTATAAATATGCATATGGAACTTAAGATGAGTAAGGAGGAGTGTGAGTACATGAGAGTAGTAAAGAACATGAAATAGAATAACTGTAATTTAGGGGATAAAGATTATAGGATTTGTGGTATTGCAGAGAGTAAATTATGAATTTACCTGGTGGTAGTTGGAGTCTAGGATGCTTATTACTGAGATCATGAAGGGTTGAAGTTATTAATGACTAGTGAGTAATGAGTAATAAATCTAGAGTTTAATGATAGGAGAAAGTAGCTGAAGAAGGATAATAATGATTATCAGACAAATGGAAGTACAGAAACCTATAGAAGGGTATCATAATAGGGTCTAACTTAATTTGAGATAGGCTGAAACCCAAAGGATAAATAGATATTTTCTTACATTAAAGGACGGGAGGCCAGGCACAGTGGCTTACGCCTGTAATCCCGGCACTTTGGGAGGCCGAGAAGGGCAGATCACAAGGTCAGGAGATCGAGACCATCCTGGCTAACATGGTGAAACCCCGTCTCTACTAAAAACACAAAAAATTAGCCGGGCGTGGTGGTGGGCGCCTGTAGTCCCAGCTACTCAGGAGGCTGAGGCAGGAGAATGGCGTGAACCGGGAAGGCGGAGCTTGCAGTGAGCCAAGATCGCACCACTGCACTCCAGCCTGGGCGATAGAGCAAGACTCTGTCTCAAAAAAAAAAAAAAAAAAAAAAAAAAAAAAGGGACAGGGGAAGTAAAGAGTGATCCAGGGAGGACAAGCATGAATGAAGTCCCTGTCAAGGGACACCTTGATATATTTGAGGAATTGGAAGATATCCAGTAGGATCACATCCAAGTAATATAAAAGGTGAGACTGAAGAGATAAGCCACAGACATTCATGGAGGGTTTGTAAGCTTGTCCAGTTGGAAGGTACTGAAATGTTTCACATAGAAATTTATACTGTAACGCAGGCCTTTAAACAATCATTCTGGTTACACTATGAAGATGGCTTGAGAGTAGGGGAAGAAAAGAACTGTAGGGCTGCTTTGAAGTAGTTAAGTTTAAAGGCAATCATGACTTGGGCCAGGATAGCGGCAGTGTGGATAAAGAGACGTGAATTTGAGGGATGTTTCAGAGACTTGATGACTGACTTAAAGAGAGTGGATTGAAGCGAAGGAGAAATCAATGTGGTTCTCACATTTCTGGTTTGAACAACTAGATGGTTTTTATTCTGTTCACTACGTTGAAACACTGTGAGAGCATGCTTGGAAAGAGGATGCGTTCTGTTTGACGTGTTGATTTTTGTAATTCAGTAAAGAATTCAACCATCCCTCCATTGAAGGACATTTGGGCTACTTCCAGTTTTGGGTTGTTATGAATAAAGATTCTATGAATATATGAATACAAGCTTTTGTGTGAATTCAAGTGGAGAGTCAAATATGAAATTAGGTAAGTCTAGAACTCAGAGTGGGGGTTAGACAAGAGATCTCCCTCTTAGAAGCTATATAGCCAGAATAAATTTTATACTTGGAAGACATGTAGTTATGATATCAAAGTCACTAGTTCAAAGTCACTTAAAGATATTACTATTTGTCTTTCTTTCAATATTATGTTCATTTTTTCTTGGAATTTATTTCATATTTACTAATTATTATATTAGAATAACAGTCATTTGTAAGAGTACATGGATAGCCAGAATAAGTGACCAATTTTATTCTATAGATTATTTTTCTACACCATTGTTCTGTTTTTCTACATGGTATAGGAACTGTAAGAATATGAAGAATAAGATACTTTCAGTTTCTTTCACCTCTAATAATCTGATATTCCAATGAGTAGACAGACATGCAAAATTCTACCTATAAGAATAAATGGTGGCCAGGCATGGTGGCTTACACCTGTGATCCTAACACTTTGGGAGGCCGAGGTGGGCAGATCACTTGAGATCAGGCACTAGAAACCAGGCTGGCCAACGTGGTAAAACCTTGTCTCTACTAAAATACAAAAATTAGCACAGTGTGGTGATGCGTACCTGTAATCCCAGCTATCTGGGAGGTTGAAGCCTGAGAATTGCTTGAACCCAGGAGACAGAGGTTGCAGTGAGCCAAGATTGCATGACTGTACTCCAGCCTAGGTGACAGAGCAAGACAGTCTTGAAAAAAAAAAAGAATAAATGGAATAGTGCCTTTGATTTGATAAAACAGAGAAGTGCGTATGACAAGTATAATCTGTAAAACAGATGCCGAAGTAACGACTTTCTAGTCCAAAGTAAGTCACAGTCTCCACTTTGCCATCTATAAAACAGACTGTACTTGTCATATACACTGCCATTTATACATAATATTACTGGGCCTAAATATTTTAGATGCTCAGTTCACTGCTCTTTTTCACAACTATATATTTGTGCATAGTATTGCCATGCTTATTTTTAAAGAAAATAATTTCTTTTTTTGAGTACATAATATATGAACATGGTACAAAATTCAAAATATACTAAAAAGAGTATTTCTTCTGCCTTTGTTTCCTTGACAGCCAGTTTCTCTTCCTAGAGACTACAACAGTTATCAGTTTCTTTTATGTCCATTCAGAAGTACATGTGCGTATAGAAAAAAATGTTAAACAGAAGTTTTAGCATACTACTCACATTGTGCTGCATCTTGATTATATCATTTAACAAGTCACCTTGGCATTCATAACATATATAATTTATATGTATATAGGTACATATGTAAAAATTTGCATATATATGATTTGTGCACCTTTCCGTATCTATCCACCTGGCTATTTTCTTTGTGTGTGTATATATATGTACATATATATATTTTAAAGCTGCATATTATTCTCTCTCATAGGTGTAATAATTCACCTCATCCCCTACTTTGGCTCTTAGGGTTCTGTCTAATTTTTGCTTTTAAAATACTCAAATAAATATTATGGTATATAATAATGATTTCCACACATTGAATAATATCTACAGGTAAATTATAACACAAAGTATGTGATTCACAATTTTCAACTTTGAGAGCTATTGAAAAAATTACCCAGCATATAACTAGTACAAATTATCATCAGAAATTCCTATTTAGCCATTCTCAAACACATATAATTTATTAAGTATTTTGATCTTTGTACAAATATGATTTGCCATTTAATTAAAATCTTATGTATGATTACAATATGCAGTTGTAAGAAAAAATACACAAAGATGCTGTTTTCCCTTTACATGGTTCCTCCCCATGGTAACAAATTGCAGCAGTTTCACAATCAGGATATTGATGCTGATACAACCCATGAATCTTAATGATAGCCCCAGTTTTATTTGTATTCATTTGTTTTGTGTATCTGAGTTTAATTCTACACAGTTTTATCTCATGTTCCTGTATCTGCCATCATAGTCAAAATACAGAATAGTTCCTCCACCACAAGGATCTTTCTTGGTATCCTTTCATAACCACACACACCTCTCTTCTGCTCCTTCTCCAACTTCATTCTCCAACTGTAACTACCAATCTTTTCCCCATTTCTAAAATATTATTTCAAAAATGTTATATAAATGGAATCATACAGTATATAATTTTTTGGATTTCACTTTTTAAAAAATTAAGCGTAATTTCCTGGAGAGTTTACCAAATTGTTGTTTTCTTTTTATTGCTAAGTAGCATTCCATGGTATGGATATACCACAGTTTGTGTAAGCATTTCTCCATTGCAGGACATTTGGGGTATTTCCAGTTTTTGGCTATTACAAATAGTCTATGAACATTCACATACAAGTTTTTGTGTGAACATGTTTTTATTGTACTGACATAAATTCCAAAGCGTGCAATTGTTGGGTCATATAGTAAGTGTATGTTTAATTTTGTAAGAAACGACTATACTCTCTCCAGAGCAGTTGTACCATTTTATATCCTGACCAGTTTTATATTCATGATCCAGTCTTTCTGTATCCTCCCTAGCATTTGGTGTTGTCACTATTTTTATTTTATCTATTTTGATAGATGTGTTGTAGCATTTTACTGGTTTTAATTTGCATTGTGCTGATGAAAATGATTTTGAACACCTTTTCCTGTGTTAATTTGCCATTTATATATCATTTTCTGTTTATGTTTGTATGTCTTTTCCTAGTTTTTGCCCATGTTTTTGGACTTTTAAGAATACTATTAAGTTTTGAGAGTTCTCTCAGATATGTGATTTGAAACAGTATTTCTTTTTTTCAGTCTTCAGCTTGTCTTTCCATTTTCTTAATAGAGTCTTTTGGCAGAGCTTTTTTTTTTTCTGGTTAGGTCAAACTAAAATTTTTCCTTTAATGTGTCATGCTTTTGGTGGAAAATCTAAGGACTCCTTGCCTAGCTCTAGACCCTGAATACTGTTTTCTATTTTTTCTAGAAGATATGTAGCTTTACATTTTACATATAAGTCCATGATCTATTTTGTGTTAATTTTTGTATATGAGGTGAAATTTGAATTTAGTTTGTTTTTTCTTTTCTATTATGGATGTCCAATTATTTCAGAACTAGTTCTTGAAAAGACAGTCTTGCTTCCATTGAGTTACTCTGCACATTCATAAAAAATCAGTTGGACATATTTGTGTGGGCTGATTTATGGGTTCTCTATTCTGTTCCATTGATCTGTTTCACTATCACTTGTGTTAATACCATACAAAACCTGATAACTATAGTTAAATAATAAGCTTTAACATTGAGTAATTTGATTTTTCCACTTTTATTCTTCTTTTTCCAAATTGTGTTAGCTATTCAATTTCCTTTGCCTTTACATACACATTTTAGAATAATCCTATCTATGTCTACTAAGAAATATTTCTGGGATTTTGATAAGAATTGTGTTAAACCTGTATATCAATTTGGAGAGGATTGACATCTTTACTATGTTAAATCTTACAATCCATGAATATAATATGTCTCTAACTTTATGTAAATCTTTTGTTATTTCTTTCATCTGTGCTTGAAGTTTTTAGCATACAACTCCTAAACATTTTTTTTAGATTTACAGCCAGATATTTCCATATTTTGAGAGATTATAAATTAAATTGTGTTTTAATTTTGGTTTTCACATATTCATAGTTTATTAAAAATATTTAATTTTTTGTGTTAATCTTGTATCCTGTCACTTTACTGAACTCATGTATTAGCTATAGGAATTTTTATGTGGAATCCAGGGAGTTTTCTACATAGATAATGACATCTGAAAATAAGTACATTTGTATTTATTACTTTTCAATATATGTGCCATTTATTTCTTTTTCTTGCCTACTACAAGTGGTGAGAGCAGACATCCACGCTTTATTCCTAATCTTAGAAGGAAAGCATTTACCTGGAAGATTTTTATGGATGATCTTTATTGAGTTGACACAATTTCTCTCTATTCCTAGCTTGCTGAGAGTTTTTATCATAAACGGGTGTTGGATTTTATCAAATTTGTTTTTTGCCTCAATTAATACGATCATATAATTTTTCTTCTCTATTCTATTTATATGATAGATTACATTTATTGATTTTCAAATGTCTATGTAGTCTTGTACACCTGAAATAAATCCACTTGGCCTATGTAAATTCTTTCTACATATTGCATTCTATTTTCTAATAATTGATTGAGGATATTTTGTCTATATTCATGAGAGATATTGGAATGCATTTTTTTTGTTTCGTACTGTCCTTGGAGTTGAACTGCATATTACTCTATATATTTATGTTTGTGTGTTTATATATACACATGCTATATAGTATAATAGTATATGTAATGTTAATCAAATTATGATGTTTCTTGGCTTGGATTTCTTTGGATTAATCCTGCAAGGGGTTTATTCAGCTTCTTCAACCTGTATATGCTTATGTTTTCAACAGATTTGGGAAGTTTTAAACTATTATTTATTTAAATACCCTTTGGCATTATTTTCTTTCTCCTCTTCTTCTGGAGCTCTGATGATATGAAAGTTGAATCTCTTGTTATTGTCCCATAGGTCCCCGAGGTTCTTTGCATTGTTTCTCAGTCTGTTTTCTCCCATTGTTCAGATAGGCTACATTTTGTTGATCTGTCCTCATGCTCATTGATTTCATCCTTGGTCATCTCCACTTAACTAATGAGCCCATTCAGTGAGATTTTATTTCTGTTACTGAACTTTCCAGTTCTATAATTTATAACAGGTAGAGTTTTAAAATATTGTATCTTGGACATTTTGGCTATTACAGAACTATAAACTGGAATTTAGGTCCTGTTTAAATCTTTAATTTTAGCAGATAGTCACTCTGTTTAGACCTAGCACACAGGTCCTGACCTAATTTTGTAGGCTGTGCATCCAATGGCAATTTTTTAAGAGACTTTTAGCTGTTATTTTTGTGTTCTAGTTTTATTTGGTACTACTGGGGTTTCCATTGTTCTCTGCTGGTACTGCCTGAGAAGGCAGAAGAAGGGATTTCCTTAGGCTAAGCCTTCTGGTGTCCTTGTGCGGTGGAGAGAATATCAAGACTGAGGACAAAGAGGCTTCCCTGTCGGGGTGCTTGTGGCGGGATTGCCTGCTTGTGCCGGACAGAGACTGCTACTTGCTGGATGATTGTCAAATTGGAATATTTCTTGCTGGTGCCCTCTTTCCCCCTTTCTCACTCTGGTGTCTGTGGGTGGCAGAAGGAAGTCTCAGGCCTGCAGGGCCCGAGGGCCAGGATGCTTGTTATGGTGGGGTCCTTCTCCAGATGCCACCTGACTGCCCTGTTGTCTCTCTTTAGGGGAAGAGAATGCCAGACAGCAGGGAGAGAGGAGCTGAGTAGAGTACTTCTCTGGGTTAGTAGAATTCCTGATGGGCCCCCCTTACTCAAGTGCTGTGTTGTTGGAGGAACTACCTTTTGATAGGAGGCAGGAAAAAACCTACCTAGGCTGCCTTTTGTTGTGGGATGGCGTGTTGGAAGAGGCAAACATTTTTTGTCAAATAAACTAATTGCCTTCTTTAGTTGGGTGAAGGGACAGCCCTGCTGCTGTGTGGTTCCTACAGTTCTGGAATCCCAAAGCAGTTCACCTTCCCACATTTGAGAATTCTTTTTTGGTTACCTCTTGTATTGTTTCTACGGTTTGTAGTTGTACTTAATGGGAAGGGAGATGGGAGAAACCTGTATATACCATCTTATCCGGAAGTCAAAATCACTGTTTTTAAGTTATTTTATTTCGAAAAATCTCAAACTTGCTGGGTGCTTAGACCTGAGCTGGGCAGCGGCAGAACATGCCTTGAGCAGATGGGCATGTGCTTGTGACTAAGTGGGGTGGGAGTCGAGGTGCAGCGCGTTGGTGCTCTTTACAGTGCTCACGGCAGCCTGCTGTAGCGCTTGCCTGCATGTCATATTTCAATTTGCATTTTTCTTATTTTTAATGAGGTTGAGCATCTTTTCCTATCTTTAAGATCTATTCATATTTCCTTTTCTATAAATTGTCTGTATGTTTCTCTCTTTAAAAAAAATTGGTCTGTGTCTTTTAGGTTTATTAAATAATTTATATATTAAGAATGTTAGCACATGGTCTACAATTTGCTTTGTGATTTTATTCCTGGATGCGTTTTGATCTTTTATTTGTAGGATTTTTGTCATGCAGACATTTTCGATGCCTATGTAGTCAAATTTGGTAATCTTTTATTGCTTCAGGTTTTTCTATGATATTTAGAAAATCATTTCCAAATCCAAGATTATTGTTTCCTCTCTTATTCTCTTTTTTTCTGTAAAAGTTTATATGACATATAAAGTACAACACACACACAGAAAAGTGGATAAATCCTGAGTCTCAATAAATTTTCACAAAATGACATATCTGTATAACCAACACACCCACATGAAGAAACAGCTTCATCCATATTACTTAATATAGCTGTAGTTCATTTTGACTCCTTCACAATGTTTCATTTTGTTGATGGACATTTATATAGTTGTCAGTTTTTGATAAAAAATATTGCTGCTATGAACATTTTTATATATTTTGGTATGTGCACCTTCTATTGGCTATATACCTAGGAATGGAATTTCTGGCTTATTCATATATGCGTATGTTTAGCTTGAGGATACTGCCAGATTGTTTTCCAAAATCACTATGCTGATTAAACTCCCTGGAGGAGTATATGAGTGCTCAGGGTGCTCTACATCCTTGTTGACACTTGGTGTTTTCCATCACTTTTTTATTTTAACTGTTCTAGTTATTGTGCAGTGGCACTGCATTGTGGTTTTGTTGCTGGGGGCTCAGGAAGGTCTCCAGATGCAGGTGAGAACCCAGCCCCAGGGGGTTTTCAGGTTCCCCATTCCTTTGCATTTCTATGTAACTTTTAAAATCAGCTTGACAATTTTATATTTTAAAAATCAGGGACTTGTACTGGGATTGCGTTGACTTTTTAGATTACTTTTAGGAGAGTAGACATCTTCATTATAGTATATCTTTCAGCCCATGAATATACCATATTCCTCTATTTATTTAGATATTCTTTATTTCCTCAGAATAATGTTTTGTAGTTTTTAGGATAGAGATCTTATATATTTTTGTTTAGTTTTATTTCTATACATTTATTGTTTCTGATGCTATTGAAAATATCATTGGACATTTTATTTTCATTTGATTGTGGTTAGCATATAAAATATATTTAATTCTTGTTTAATGTCCTCATATCTCAGAAATCTTCTAACCATACAGGCATATCATCTATGAAAATGAGTTTTATTTTTTCCTTTCTAATTCTAAAGTATTTTATTTATTTTTTTCTTGCTTTATGACACTGGCTAGAACCTCTAGGACAATGTTCAAAAAAGTGATGATAGGAGAAATCCTTGTCTCATTCCTGATCTGAAACTTTTCATGTTTCTTCATTAGGTATGATCTTTTCTTATGGTATTTTTTATTAATTTTATCAAATAAACTAATTTCCCTTGTATCCCTAGTTTGCTAAGGATTATTTTATTAAATCATGAGTGGGTGCTAAATATAATCAAATGCTTTTACTGCATCTGTGGTGTTTCTTGTTTTCTTTCTCTAATATGGCTATTGTATTAATTTATTTTTTAATGTTAAATTACCCTTACATCTTGAAATAAATTTTATTTGGTTGCGATGTAGATATTGCTTGTTTTTATGCATTTTTTCAAGATTTTTGCATCTATAGTCACAAGACAGGTTAGTCTGCAGTTCCTTTCTGTTAAGTTTTTTTTTTTTTTTTTTTTTTTGAGATGGAGTCTCGCTCTGTCGCCCAGGCTGGAGTGCAGTGGCGCGACCTCAGCTCACTGCAAGCTCCTCCTCCCGGGTTCAAGCCATTCTCCTGCCTCAGCCTCCCGGGTAGCTGGGACTACAGGCTCCTGCCACCACACCAGGCTAATTTTTTGTATTTTTAGTAGAGACGGTGTTTCACCATGTTAGCCAGGATGGTCTAGATCTCCTGACCTCGTGATCCGCCCTCCTCGGCCTCCCAAAGTGCTGGGATTACAGCCGTGAGCCACCGCGCCTGGCCTCTGTTGAGTTCTTTTTAAAGTGTTGGTATCAAAGTTGTGCTAACCTTATAAAAGAAATATAGAAGTGCTCCTTTTTCATTGTTTTGAAAGTATTTGTGTAAGTTATTATTTCTTCCTTAATTATTTGGTAGAATTCACCAGTAAAATCTGGACTTGGTGTTTCCTTTCTGGAAAAATTTTGAATAAGAACTACACTTTCCTATATAAATATCAAACTATTGAAATTGTCCTTCTTCTACTGTCAATTTTGGTAAGTTACTTTTGGTTTAAGTAATTTTAAAATTTTATTTAAATTGCCAAATTCTTGGGCATGAAGTCGCTCATAACGACCTTTTACAATGTTTGACGTTGATAGTATCTGTAGTGATACTAGCTTAAAATTTGTATTCTCTCTCTCTTTTAACAATTTTACTGAGTTGATAACTTTCATTAATCTTTTCAAATGACTAAATTTTGACTTTGTTGACTTTTCTTTATTGAACTTTTGTTTTCTATTTCAATTATTCTTGTTATTATTTTAGCTATTTCCCTTCTACTTTGTTTAGGTTTGAGTTATTGGATTATTTGTTCATTCATTCATGCATTCATTCATTTAGCTGTTTGAAATGAAAGTTTAGGTTATTGGTTTTTCAATATTTCTTTTTTTCTAACATATGCATTTAAGGCTGACAATTTCCCTCTATTTATTTCTTTAGCTATATGCCAAAAGTTTTGATATATCTCATCTTCATCATTGTTCATTTCAATTTTATTCTAATTTTATTTGAATTTTTTCTTTATGAATTATTTGTGTGTATTACATAATATGAAGAAATTGGTGAGTTTCTAGATGCATTTTTCTTATTGTTTTTTAATTCCAGTGTGGTCAAGGGACATTCTTTGAATAGCTCAACCTTTTGAAACCTTTTGAAGCCTTTTGGTAATACTCAACTCATGCTTGATTTTGTAAATATGTACAAGATATACTTGAAAATAATGTGAATTATTTTTTGGTTGGGTTCAGTGTTCTTTATATGTTAATCAAATTTGTAAATTATGTTGTTCAGATGTTTATATCCTTACTGACTTTTTGGCTGATTATTCTGTCAGGTATAGAGAGAAACTTGTTAAATCTTCTCATTGTGATTGTGGTTTTAACTATGTCTTTATTTCTGTCGATTTTTAGAGTTATTTTACGGAGAACTTACACTGGAGAACTTATGATATTGTGGACCAATTATTAACAGAAGAATCTTAGTAGGCATGGGTGGGAGGAGTATCCTAGTTAGCATTTCCAATTCCTCAGTGCAAGGGCTCCCTCTTCTGTTGATAAGGTGGTGATTATTATTGTTATTATTATTATTATTATTAATTACTTACAAATGACAAGCTTCCTTTGTTCTTCATATATTTACTATACCTCTTCTCTCCATCACCTTCAGTGCTTAGACTGTGCCTTTTTCTATCCCCTGCCCCACAGAAATTCTCACTCCCTGGGAGGTACTCCCCTTTTGGATTGAAAAATTGGGGGTGTTTTCGAAGTTCTTCTACTAATGGGACCTCTAACTATTTCAAGTTTTTCCCAACTACATCCACTGCCTCATTGCTATGACACAGTCTTGTGACTAATGATGCTAATTTTGCTGTTTTTTTCTCCTCTACTCATACAACATTTGGTTTGTGGGTGTTTATGTTTCTTACTTTCACTGAAAGTTTGGGTTGTCAGAAGACATGTGTTACTCTCTTGTGGCTTTTATGTATCTTAGAAGAAGTGATGAAATCCCCACTGAGCTACATCTGAATTTTTGCCAGAACCTAGAATCATAAGTTGAAAAACTATTCCCTGTTTGTATGTTTAAAATTTTTGTAATACATAATTCTAATGCCATACATGAGGTTATGATTATGTCCATCAAATCTTGCACTTCCTAGTTTTGAAAACAGATGCCCTTTATCTATATCTGATTTGTTCATAATATAATGCTTTTATTAGTCTAGTGCCATTTTAACAGCTCAGAATTTATCAGGTATATTAGTCTTCCTCAATTTTGTTGTACATAAATTTAGTTTTACTGTTCGTAACTATTCTTCACACTGTTGCTCACCCCTAGGTTCCTCCAAATAGTAAACTTGCTTTATTTAATCCTCACAGTGTAAAATTAAAAATTCAGAAAAATTAATTCTGTTATTGTTAAATTTGCTTCCCAGAGCAATGGAGAATGTCACTACAATGAATGAGTTTCTTCTACTTGGCCTGACTGGTGTTCAGGAGCTGCAGCCTTTCTTCTTTGGGATTTTCTTAATCATTTACCTGATAAACTTGATTGGAAATGGATCTATATTGGTGATGGTTGTTTTGGAACCACAACTCCACTCCCCTATGTATTTTTTTCTGGGAAACCTTTCTTGTCTGGATATTTCTTATTCTTCAGTGACACTGCCCAAGCTGCTTGTAAACCTCGTGTGCAGTCGCAGGGCTATATCTTTTCTAGGCTGTATCACCCAGCTACACTTCTTCCACTTTTTGGGAAGCACAGAGGCCATTTTACTGGCTATCATGGCCTTTGACCGTTTTGTTGCCATCTGCAATCCTCTTCGCTACACTGTCATCATGAACCCCCAGGTGTGTATTCTGTTGGCAGCTGCGGCCTGGCTCATCAGCTTCTTTTACGCTCTGATGCATTCTGTCATGACTGCACACCTGAGTTTTTGTGGCTCTCAGAAACTCAATCACTTCTTCTACGATGTCAAGCCGCTCTTAGAATTGGCCTGTAGTGACACATTACTCAATCAATGGCTTCTTTCCATTGTCACAGGCAGCATATCCATGGGAGCTTTCTTTCTGACTCTTCTCTCCTGCTTCTATGTAATTGGCTTCCTTCTGTTTAAGAACAGGTCCTGCAGAATACTCCACAAGGCTCTGTCCACTTGTGCCTCCCATTTTATGGTGGTATGTCTTTTCTATGGACCTGTGGGCTTCACATATATTCGTCCTGCTTCAGCCACCTCCATGATTCAGGACCGGATAATGGCCATCATGTATAGCGCCGTCACCCCTGTACTGAATCCACTAATCTACACCCTTAGGAACAAAGAAGTGATGATGGCTCTGAAGAAAATCTTTGGTAGGAAGTTGTTTAAAGACTGGCAGCAACACCACTAGGACTAATGAGGGATATCTGATTTCTATTAAGACTGATTTCCATCACTTCACTGTAAGAAATGATTTGTTTACCTGGTTTATATTTTTCTTTCAAAAATTTTGAGCACATATTATATTAGGCAGTGTAGTAGGTTCAAGAAACACAGGAGCAAGCAAAACAAATTCCATAATGTCATCAAACATAAAGTTTAATGTGATGGAGGCCCCAAATAACCAAACGCGTAAGTACATATGTCAGGATAATTCGGTGGCAAGGAGAACTAAGGAGGTAGGAAGTATGGGGAGGGTTAGAGTAGGAATCTGCTGTGTAAAAAAGAATGTGGCATTTCTCCTAGGACAAAAACCTTTGGAATTTTCCAAGTAATAGAAGTATCTTACTGAAATTCCATATGAGATAATCTTTATTTTTGCCTATTTTTTTTCCTTTTGTGTTTCCTTCAGCAGGAATGTACTGATGATAATTTTTCTCACAACAGTTTTTATCTAGAATATCATTTTTGTTAATCTTAATTCTTGAAGAGAATTTTTAATGGGTATTTAATTTTAGGGAGAGATTTTTCTAGCCATTGAAAATATCTTGTTTTTCCCCAGCTTATTGAAGTATAATTAACAAATAAAAATTGCATATATTTAGGCTTCACAACATGATGCTTTAGTATATGTACACATTGTGAAGAGACTACCACAATCAAGCTAAACCTACATTACTGTCCCTGCATTAGTTTACTGTTGAATACTAGAAGTTCTTCATTCTATCTAACTGCATTTTCATACCCATTAAGCCAATGTGACAAGCTCTTTGTTTCAGTTGGAGTGTTTGCACAATTTAAATTTGATAAATTTTTGATAGAATTAAATTTAAATTTATCCTCCAACTAAATTTTTGATAGAATTAAATTTAAATTTGTCCTCCAACTGTTTGCCTTTCATTTGTCCTATTTGTCCGTTATTGCTTCTTCTTTCATTTACTGTTTTTTATGGGAATATTTTTATGATTTCATTATATTTTCACTATTGTCCTTTTATTTATACCTTTTTATTTTATATTTTTGTGGTTACTCTGGGGTTTACAATGTACATTTTAAATTCACAAAATATTTCTTCACATAATATTACACCATTTAAGATGTATTGCTAGAGTCATGCCATACTGTACTTCCATCTCCCTGCTCATGCTTTGTGATTTTAATGTCACACATTTTACTTTTACTTATGTTATTAGTATCCAAGATACTGCAATTCTGTTTTTTTTGAAAAATTCTATTATTTTTAAGGTAATTAAAAATAATAAAAATGTCTTTTACACTTAAACACATATTTATAATTTCTGGCACTTTTGGTCCCTTCATGGAGACACTGATTTTCATCTCGTATCATTTTTTTGTTGTTGTTGTCTAAAG
Source organism: Homo sapiens (assembly GCF_000001405.40). Lineage (NCBI taxonomy): Eukaryota > Metazoa > Chordata > Mammalia > Primates > Hominidae > Homo > Homo sapiens. The sequence continues at coordinate 638,584 of NT_167245.2, read as the reverse complement.
ACTTTCCTTAACTATTTCTTGTAGTAAAGTTCTGCTGGTAATAATTTACTTCAGCTTTTGTTGGCATGAAAAAGTACTTTGCCCTTATTTTTAAGAGATGTTTTCTCTGTATATAAAATTTTAAATTGGCAGACTTTTGTTTATGTGCTTTAAAGCTGTTGCTCCATTACCTGTCTCACATAATTTCTGGTGGGATGCATGCTGCCATTCTTATCTTTATTCCTTTGTAATAACTGTGTTGATTTTTCTCTTGCTGATTTTAAGATTTTTCTTTATGACTTTTTTAGCAAATAGATTATGATGTTCATTGTAAAGTTTTCTAATATTTATTCTATTTAATTTTTATTGAGCTTCTTGGATCTATAGATTATATATTTTATCAAATTTGGAAAAACTCAGTCATTACTTCTTCAATGTTTTTAATCAAACACTTCTTTAGTACTCCACTTGCACATATGTTAGACTGCTTGAAATTATGACATAGGTCATTGATACTTTGTCCATTTTATTAAAAAGATTTCTCTGTGCTTCATTTTGGATTGTTTTTATATCTATATCTCCAAGTTCCTTGATTTTTTCTTCTGCAGTAATTAATCTACTGTTTATTCCATGCACTGCATTTTTCACTTTATATTTTGTATTTTTTATTTAAACAAGTTCTATGTGGGTCTTTAAAAAAATCTCTCTCTTTTTATGTCTGTATTTCCCCTAAATTATTATGCTTATTTTGAGGCATACTTTTTTTTTGTTAAGGTAGATCCAGAACATTGTTTATTCTGAGATTAATTTAGCCCCCACTACTAAGGTAATATCCTTCTCAGGACTCCACCTAAGTCCTTGTCTATTACAAGCTGTTCCAATCAGGCTGATGGGTCATGGGACATACCCAACCCTGTCTTGTACAGTGTATTAAAATCATTGCTTTATATATTTTATTCCATTTTTTAGATGTTTAATCAGGAGAGAAAATCTCGTTACTTTATTATGGCAAGTAATGAAACACAAAAATCATTATTTTTGAGGTTGCGGAATGTAGATCTTCCTATCTGTTGTGGGTACACACGACTACTTTCTAGTATCAATAACATTAGTGTGATATAATCTAAATCACAGGCACTAATGTAGTCACTCCTGATCGAGGTACAACATATGTAGCTGGCAATACTGTTCAGGGTTGATGCTTATATTTTTTTTTTCTTAAATTGAGACAGAGTCGCCCTATGTTTCCCAGGCTGGTCTTGAACTCCTGGGCTCAAGGGATCTTCCTGCCTCTGCCTCCCAAAGTGATAGGATTACAGGTGTGAGCCAGCACTCCAGGCCTTATCTTAAATTCACACTTTGTTAACTTTTTTTCTCCTTTTTTTGTAGAAACAAACAGAGCAAATATTTCAGTGTATGATGTCCCTGTTTTCCTACTCTGTTCTATGAGTATATCTCTATAAAAGAGTTGATTCTACTATTATTTTGCTCTTAATAATATTTTCCTATTTTCACCTCATTTTTATTATTCTGAATAGATCATCTTTAAAAAGGAAGTGAAATTTTTTTTCCTTTTTGTCTCTACCCTATCTATTTCTTTTTTGTTATGGCCATTTATAGTCACGTACACTCATTTAATCTCAATTTATTCACTGGAAAAAAACAGCTGATTTAATGTTAGAGAGCACACATTATTGGTAAATCCCTTATTATACATCATAAAAAGCAAAGACACCCCAAACTCCTAGATTTATAAGAAGAAAACAAGCTATGGGGAAATGATTCCCTATTTAATAAATGGTGCGGGGATAACTTCCTTGTCATATACAGAAGATTGAAGCTGGATACCTACCTTTTACCCTATACAAAAGTTAACTCAAAATTGATTAAAGATTTAAATGTAAGACCTCAAATTATAGAAATCATGGAAGATAACCTAGGAAATACTCTTCTCAACATCGGCCTTGGCAAAAGATTTTTGGCTAAGTCACCAAAAGCAATGGCAACAAAAACAAAAATAGACAAGTGAGACCTGATTAAACTAAAGAGCTTCTGCACAGCAAAAGAAACTATCAACAGAGCAAACACACTATCTACAGAAAGGGAGAAGATATTCACAAACAATGCATCTGACAAAGGCCTAATATCCAGAATCTATAGGGAACTTAAAGTTTAAGTCAACAAGCAGAAAGCCAATAATCCCATTAATAAATGGGCAAAGGACATGAAAAAACACTCTCAAAAGAAGACATACATGTGGCTAACAAACATACGAAAAAATTATCAGCATCACTAATTATCAGGGAAATGCAAATCAAAACTGCAGTGAGATATTATCTCACACCAGTCAGAATGACTATTTAAAAAGTCAAAAAACAACAGATGCTATCAAAGCTGCAGAGAAAAGGGAATGCTTATATGCTGTTGGTGGGAATGTGGATTAGTCCAGCAACTGTGAAAAGCAGTCTGGAGATTTCTCAAATAATTTAAAACAGAACTACTATTCAATACAGCAATCTCATTAATGGGTATATATCAAAATAAAATAAATCATTCTACCAATAGGATACATACACTCACATGTTCATTGTTGCGCTGCTCACAATAGCAAAGATGTGGAATGACAGACTGGATAAAGAAAATGTGTTACATATGCACCATGGAATACTATGCAGCCATAAAAACAGAATAAAATAATGTCCTTTGCAGCAACATGGATGGAGCTGGAGGGCATAATTCTAAGCAAGTTAACACAGGAACAGAAAACCAAATACTGCATGTTGTAACTTATAAGTGGGAGTTAAGCATTGAGCACACATGAACATAGGTATGGGAACAATAGACACTGTGGACTACCAGAGGCTTCAGGGATGGGGGAGGATGGGTTAAAAAACTGCCTATCAAGCCAGGTACTAGGCTCATTACCAGGGTGGTGAGATCCATACTCCAAATTTGAACATCATGCAATATTCCCATGTAACAAATCTGCACATATATCCACTATGTCTAAAATAGAAGTTGAATTTTTTTAAAAAAGTAAAAACTAAAAATAAATATAAAATAAAAAAATTTAAAAAGACTTATTGGTAATGAATGTTAGATACAATAAATGAATAATGCAAAATTTATTATCGTCTGTTTTTGGAGTGAAATAACCACTCATAGATATCTTCAGATGATAACTCTCTTGCTGTGTGTACCCAAGTCAGCCGGTAAGAATTTAGCAAGTGATGAAATTGGATAATGCCTAGTAGGTAATTAATTTGTTGAGAATTGAGATTTGATTTTAAGCCATAGGTGATGATTAAGAACCATATGAATCTGGGAGAAATAACTCTTCTTTAATCCAAATTCTTAATTTTAAAGGGCAGGCAATATAATCATTAGAGGTCAAAGGATTCAGAAATTCTGTTTTTATGTGATAGTGGCATACTTAGCTGCCTCAATTCTTAAATAATTATAGGATCAAAATTAATCAAGCAATTATACTTTTAATTTACAAGTCATGCTCAAAATTAATATTTAATCTATCACAAAATATATGGATACTGTATATTCGTTAGTGAGTTTTTGATACATCTTCAAGAACACATAACATGCAAAGGAATAGATATTTGGAGGACTAATCAGTCTTCAGTGGCTGAAGAATATTTCTTCAGTGAGAAGTAGTGTGCAATGTAAGCTTCCCCCACCTCCAGGAGGAAATGAGGATGCTTTCTCCTAATTTAAGCTGAGAGAAAAACCAGTTAGAGAGCTTGATTTCTACATCTGGAATTTTGGAGTCCAAAGACTGATATTTCTTACATGGCC